>NT_187646.1:0-162212 GCF_000001405.40 Homo sapiens | reverse complement strand
GAATTCACTTCCTAACTCCTGTGCTGGAATGTTCACTCTGGCTTCTTGTGAGACCTCTTCATTCTATTTGAACTTACTCTTCCCACAGGAACTCCACAGTTAAACCCCTTTTGGGTTCCTACTCTCTATATATACTATGACACTAACCATGTCTGCTTCTATTTTAGGCAAAATGACTTTACTGTGGATAATTCGGAACTGCAATGGTTTATTTGAAAATCTTAAGATCTGCCTAAAGTGGCTCTTATAGGACTGCTCCCTTCCCATTTCCTTCTTTTTTCCTTCTTTCTTTTACCATCTTAACTTTTTCCATTGAACTCCCCTGACACTTTGATATGCACCTCTTTTCCATTAAACACCCCTGACTTTTGATATATACCCATCCTTTTACCCCTACCAGATGTTTCACTTACCTCTTTAGCCCCTCGACTCCCTATAGTCACTGGAACGTATGCCTCCTGATTCACAGGGGGTTCTCGAGAGACTGATGCACACACAAAGCAACACACGGGGCTTCCTGGAAACAGAGATATAATCTACAGCCTGTGTAAGATTACATTTTAGGTGAAAAACCCACAAATACCCCAAAATATGTTACTAATTAAAATCTGTCCTCACTACCTTAACCAGTGTCTGGGCTTTACCTTTGAAACTGGTGTCCTTATTTAAAAAAAGTTGGACATGCACCCAGGAATATTATCTTTTGAAGATAAAGGAATAGATTGAAGTAATGCTACTTCAAGCCAAGGAATGCCAAAGGTTGTCATCAAACTACCAGAATGCTATGGTACGCATAGCAAATGAATACATCAGCTTTCAACAACATCATCAAAAATTACAAGTCATGGTAGCAGGCAAAAAATATGCTTTAAAAAGAAAAACAAAATTAGAAAAGGACTTGGACATGGCAAGCCAATCATGTGATTTCTTGATGTTTCTTCTGTGTTTTCTGCCTAGAAAAACCCACTGCACTCACTGCTGGGTGGATCTATCTGAACCTCTTATGGCTCTGAGTGCCATCTGAAAAAGATGATGGTTCCCTTTACCTTGAGTCGTTTTCCCCAGATACACTAGAACCCATTATTTCAGTTCTTTTAGGTCTCTTCTGTGCTATTCGATTATCAGAAAAGATTTCAATGACCAATGAATAAAAATGACTGATCTGTCCCTTATGCTGTCTTATTTTTCTTCATAAAATTAACAATCTTGAACATATTTTTTACAATTGTTTCTCTTTTCCACAATATAGTGTCATATTAATAAGATGAGACATTTTGCTCATTTTTATCACTGCTGTGTGCTGAAAGCCTAACACAGTGGTAGCCCCAAAGTAGATGCTCAAAAATAAATATGCTCTGAATGAGTATATTTAGTCATTTCCTGGAAGGAGAGGCTGGGTCAAACAGAGTGCTAAGGACTCAGAATCCTTACTGCTAGAATGACAATGAAATGACAGCATCATGTTAGTGGCACATTTAAAATGAAACAGTATCAATATTGAAAATATTTGTAAGGCTTATTTGAAAAAAGAAAATCATAACACATTTACCTATAATTCAGAAATTTAAATTTCTAGATAATTTCTAAGATTAAGGTTTTTTAATTTCTTAAACTTTTAGATAACCATTTTAAAGAATATATATTGTATATATCTCTGTTATTAAAAAGTAATTGAAAGTAATTACTTCATATTATATTAAGGCATTATAGCTATAAATATGGTGTAAACTGTAATGGTTATTCTGCCCTTTCTTCTCTTGCTACCTCCTGCCATCCTAAGAGAAGTTGCCTTAAGCAGAATTGTCTCATCCCGATCCCCAGAATCACTCTATCCACTCACACATTATCTTTCCCAAGCTTGAGGAAAAAATAACAGAGTGAGAGACGAAGATTATGTATTATTATTGCGACTCTTGGTGTTTGCAAAATTCCAAAATACTGAGATATGGCTAAATAAAATTCTATGCAACTTCTTTTGAATGCATGAATGTATATATTTATGTAAGTTTTATTTTGTTTACATTTTGTTTTGGTAATTAGAGTTTTATTTCCCTTGGTGACAGAACTTTCTGTTGTCTTTCAGATGAGTATATTTTTGATTTTGATTTAAATATAATTTCCCAAAATAAACATTTTTGACTTATACCTATTTTATGTTTTTTATGATGTCAAGTCCATGGCATTTGTTCAGGGCGAGACTTTAATGACTGAACTTCATGATTATCTTTCTACTTGCCAAACACTTCATTTATCTTTCCCATTATTCAAGAGCTGCTATATCCTTGAGTTTGATATTCTTTATCTGGAATTCAATGCAAAGCTCTGCTAAGTGGTCATGATGATCCAAGAGTGGATGTTAGAATTCTAGGATGCCACAGGTCTTTCTCTTTCCATAAATCTTAAAGTCTGTAGGTTTATGAAAGACAGTTTTGTCACAGCCAGTTAGATTCATGGGTTAGCATTGTGGTGTAAGGAGGTGAATATAATGAATGAACTCAGCAATGAACAGGTTTTCTGATGCCAGAAGAAGTTTTCCCTGCGTGTTCTATAGGTCTTGTGCCGTGTATCAAGTATTTCTTCTCTTGATCTACTGTGCAATGGGTATAAGGTTTCAGTGACACAAGATGAAGTCCTAGAGATTGGCTGTGCAGCACCGTGCCTGGAGTTCACAGTACTGAATCGTGCACTGAAAAAGTGTAAGAGGGTAAATTTCCTGTTAAGTGCTCTCACCACACTAAATAAATAAAATTTATCATGAGCCAGGCACTGAACTAAGCTCAGGATATATTATGATGAACAAATTTAGACATGACAAACGATCTCAATAAAACTTAAAATGTTTTGCTACAATAATCACCTGGAAAAAAAAGTCAGTCTTCTCTACAGTATAATGTGGATGGACACAAATGAGTGGTTTTAAGATTATGTTTCCTTCCCTTGTTTTTAAAAAACATTTATAATAAGTAAAATTCTTCAACAAGAGCAAAATCATATCAGTTTCTAGTATCAGTGTTTGCCAAAGACTGCTCTTTAAAATAAAGGGATCACCTCAGTCCAATCTACTTGACATGATCCTACCTTGTCAGACAAGCTAGTCAAGATTTGGAAAAGGCAACTACATTTCAATCCTTTGAAAATCTACATAATCCTAAGCACAGACTTATCAGGATTGGTAATGGGTCAAGTTTAGGGACACGTTACAATTACAATGTAATTTTTGGCTGTAGTTGATCAGCAAGTTTACATCCATATATTCATCCAAGTTGCTCTTCCTCAAAAAAATTAATATGTTGACATTTCTACCTGCAAGATTTGTGATTCATGTTTTAATTATTACAATTTTCATATAACATGTTTTAGAATACCTGATATTGTGGGTGATCTCAATTTCTTCCTGGGTGATCTTTCCTGGTTTAATATTTGTATGATTCCAATGATAAATCTCAGATAATATAAATAGCAAAAAATTAAAATACTGAGAAAATAATATACAACTTATTAGGGGAGAAAGAGGAAGAGATGCTCCCTTAGTGGCACACAGAAGGTGGGATGCCTGGTCTGCTTTTTCTATATTTTTGCATATTTGGGGTTCAGAAAACTGAAACCCATAGAGTCACCATATGCTACATACACTGAACCTAAAGTAATAAGTAGTTCTGAAAGAGAACAGAGGAGAAGAGGGACTCCCTACAGGGATAAATGGTCCAGACTTAAGGTATGGCTTATTTATGCTTTCAACACCCCAGGGACTACAATCCCAGCTGACCAATTAAACTTCGAGAGTTTCAGTGGAGATTTAAGGTCCTGGGATTACTTCTGGAAAAAAATTAAAAAGCTTACCGTGCAATTGGCCCAATACTCAAACCAAAATCTAATGGACAGAAAATATACAATTTACAAACTTGTGCTTTTTTTAAATGTTAATTAAAAATATGTTTATTAAACCCACAGATTTTTTTAGTTGGAAATTTTAAAATTAAATTTGATTAATGAAAAAATAAAATATAAGGAAAAATGACATTTGGAAGCAAAATGAAGAATTTCAGAAGAAAGAAAACATTCAACTAAATGATCTTTTGAACATATTGAATTCAGTTTGCTAGTGTTGAGAATCTTTACATCCATGATCATAAAATAAATTGGCCTGTAATTTTCTTATACCGTCCTTGTCTGACATTGGTGTTAGGGTAATGCATGAAAAAATGTGTTGGAAAGTGCACCCTTTTTAATTGTTTGGAAAAGTTTGAGAATAGCATTAATCTGTCTTTAGATATTTGGTAGCAATCACCAGTAAAAGCATCAAGTCCTGAACTTTTAAGTTTATTATTATTATTATTGGTGATTTAATCTCTGTACTAGTTATTAATTTGTTCAGGTTTATTCTTTCTTCAGGACATACATGTCTAAGAATTTATCCATTTCTTCTACGTTACTCAATTTATTGACATAATTGGTCATGATAATCTCTTATGACCCTTTGTATTTTGGTAGTATTGACTAATTTCTCCTGCTTTACTTATAGTTTTATTTGAGTCATCTCTCTTAGTTTTCTTGGTTTGTCTACCTAAAGGTTTGCCAATTTTCCTCACGTTTTTACAGAACCAACTCCTCGTGTTACTGATCTTTTCTTTTGTCTTTCTTATCTGTTTAATTCTGCTCTAACCTTTATAACTTTCTTCTTTCTTCTAACTTTTGGCTTTTTTCTTCTTTTCTAATTCCCAGAGTGCCAAGTTAGGTTGCTTATTTGGGATCATTTCTCTCTCTGTCTCAGTAGCTATCAGAACTACTTTTGCTGTACCCCATGATTTGGTATGTTATTTGTCCATTTTTGTTTGTCTCAGGATATTTTTAAATTGTCTTTATTTTTGGGTCCATTTGTTGTTTATGAGTGTTGAGAGTGGGGTATTATAATCCCCTACTATTATCATATTGCTGTTTATTTCTTTTTTGTGTTCTGCTCATGTCTGCTCCATCCATTTTGGTGTTCCAATGTTTCCTGGGCCTATATTGAGGCACCCTAACTAATAACACTTTGCACATCAATTCATCTCATTTCTCACAAAAGCAAACAGAACAAAACTGTTCAAACATACATAAGGGAGTCCTAGTTGCTGATACAAACTTTTAGATAGTCTTCCAATCTTTTTATCCTACTTTAATTCTCCAATGATATAATAAACATCCAAGACAAAAAAAATGAAAAAAGCACAAATGATTCCTTCACTGAAATCAGGAGACAAAGGCAATCCATCAACTATAAATTACATGTAAGGAAGGGGAAGAAAGTCACGGACACTCATCAGAATTGGTACAGAAACTCCATATTGGAAGCAGGAAGTCCGGCAGAGAAGAGACCCAGTCAAGGTCACTGGTGGTGGTAATGATAAAAAATACCAGGAAATATTATTCCCCAAGAAGGAGAGGGTCCTCTCACAAGTGTAAACTGCTATACCCAAGCCTGATGAACACGGAGCCAGGTAGCAATCTGAGGATTATTGAAGAGATAGATGCAGGGAGTATACCTGGGAAAGAAGTGGTGGAGATAACAGGACAATCTTGCCTAAACTAAGGGGGTCACCATCCCAGGCATAACCACGAATAGGAAGGTGGTAGAAATGAACATGGAGAAGACAGCAGGAATGCATACAATGAAGCTGTAGGGCTTGAGAAACAAGAATATTCCCCAATGCCTGCAAGCCCTATGCAATCCACCTGGTAACAACTGGAAAGGCAAATCAAATTCTTAAAAATGAAATTAGAAAATGCAACGTCTTTCCAAAAATACTATAGAAAAAAAATAAATCTACCCCAAAATTATTGCCTTAAATCGGAGCTAAATACTGATATAAACTTCAAATACTCTACAACCCCAAATCCTTAATAAAGCAGTTTTATAAATGAGAAAACATTTTAAAACAGAAATATGACGGTTCAGAGAACTGATGACCCACTAAAAAGAGACGACAATCGGCCAACAGAAAGATGTGAAATGGGAATCACCCTGAGTCAGGAGAGAATTTAAAGGGAGTGATGGGGACGAAGCTGAATGGCTGCTCCGTGGCTTGTGAGTGATTGTAAAATAATAAAGATGATGGAGAAAATATAAAAGCAAGTGTAAAGAAATAGTGATAAGCACTAGTGTAAACATATTGGCTACAATTGAATGATGAAGGAAAGGAGAATAGACATATCTTCTGAAATATTTTCTGTTCTTCCTTATGCTAGGAAACTAGTAGATACTGTGTAAAGAGAGGGAAATTAAGGATATTTTAGTCTTATAAAATATGTTTTATGCATAGGTATTTGTACATAATATACACATTTTGTTAAATAGAAAATATTAAATACCACACAATGAAATAATTTTGAAATAAAGGCAAAGAGTTGATTTTGTCTTCTTACTGCAAAGAATTATAAGTATGTGAGGTGATGCATATGTTAATTACCTCAATTTACCCATTCCACACAATATACATATTTTAAAATATCACATTGTACATGATAAATATATACAATTTTATTTGTTCATCACAAAAATTTAAAAATGGCAATTAAAATAAAGGTAATAACAAAGTGTGAGGGAATATGATTAAACTAATGGGGTATATCAATAAACACAATGCATTTAATACACTGAATAAAGAAAAAAAGATTACTATTCTCTCTGCCTGGTGGTCTCTTTTCCGATACGTTGTGACCCATTTCTTCAACTGATTTAGGTCTCTCTTCTCTGCTCTCTTGATTATCAGAGAAGACATCTCTGAGCAGTGAATATAAAACAGTAATTATCTCCTACACACCCTATTTTACTCTTCTTTATAATGTTTATCATTCCTGATAGTTTTTTTGCGATTATTATCTCTTCTCTACCATAGAATGTAAGATCCAGGAGATAAAGCATTTTACCATTTTTATCACTAGTGTCTTTCCAATGCCTAAAATATAGCACCTATTCCAAAACAGACGCTCAAAAATAAATGTTTCTTGAGTCAATGCATTTATTCATTTTTGAGGAGGAGAGATTGGGTTAAACAAGAGGGTTAAAAACTCAGAATAGAATGACAACCAAACGAGAGCATAGTCAGTATTAATACAGAAAATATTTACAAGACCTACTTGAAAGAAGATATAGTTGTAACACATTTTCCATGATTGTTGAGAAATTTATATTTCTGGGTACATTAACTTCTTAGGCAACTAGAGCTTACTTGTTTAATTCTTTAAGCTTAATAAATTTTAAAGTATGGAGTACAATATGCCAAGTGAAACAAGTCAGGCACAGAAAGAAAAATGCAGCATGAGCTCATTTATGTGTAAAATAAATGGAAATTGAGTAAGATAAATAGGGAGTTGAAGGGCAGTTGCCAGAGTCAGGGAAGTAGACAAATTGGGATAATGTAGGTAAAAGAAGACAAAATTACAGTTATGTAACATAAAGATATTTAGAGATCTAATGTACAACAGAAGGACTATAGTTCTATTTTATTATACATTACAAATTTGCTAAGAGAATAACTAGATTATATGTGTTTTTATCACAAAAAAGTAAACTGCAGACAGTGATGGATGTGTTAATTTGCTAGCATGTGGTAATTATTTCACTATAGATATCTACATCAAAACATGTTGTACATCTTGAGTTTATACAATAAAAAAAAAATACTCGATTTAATGACCAATCTGGACTTATTTATTTTAATGTTTATTTAAAATATTTCATGCTGTCTGTGGCCTGGTATTTGGGAGAAAGGGGGATAAAATACTTCAATCAATCATGTCAACACAATTTTTGATGAGAAATTGAAAACTGAATTGTTCAAATTGTTCCAGTTCTCAAGAGGAATGCTTCCAGATTTTACTTGTTTAGTATGATGGTGGCTGTGGGTGTGTCATAGATGGCTCTTATTTTTTTGAGATAAGTTCATTTGGTGCCCAGTATATTGAGGGTTTTTAAGAAGAAAGGATGCTGAATGTTATGAAAAATCATTTTGCTTCTATTGAGATGATCATGTGATTTTTGTATTTAATTATGTTTATGTGGTGAATCACATTTACTGATTTGCACTTGTTGAACCAACCTTGCATCCCAGAAATAAAGCCTACTTGATCGTGGTGAATTCACTTTTTGATGTGCTGCTGGATTTGGTTTGCTGGTATTTCGTGGAGGATTGTGTGTCTATATTCCTCAGGAATGTTGGCCCGAACTTTACTTTTTTTTGTCGTATTTGTGCCTAATTTTGGTATCAGAATGATGCTGGCTTCACAGAATGACTTAGAGAGTATTCCCTTCTCAATTTTTAAAATAATTTCAGAAGATTTTGTACCAACTCTTATTTATATGTCTGGTAGGAGTTGGTTGTTAATCCGTCTGGTCCAGGGCTTGTTTTGGTTGGTAGGTTTTTTTTAATCACTGACTTAATTTCAGAACCCATTATTGGTCTGTTCAGGATTTCAATTTCTTCCTGGCTTAATGTCAGGAGGTTAAATAATCTTGGGTGGAGAAATAGATAAATTCCTTGTTTCGAGGGATTTATATATTTCTTCTAGGTTTTCTAGTTTGTCTGCAGAGAGGTGTTCATAATAGTCCCTTAGGGTTTTTTGTACTTCTATGTAGTTGGTTGTATTTCAACTTTGTCATTCCTGAATTTATTAAGCATATGAAAATAATAAACTATAAAGGAATAAAGAAAATAGATTTAGAAGAAAAGAAAGTGTTCAAGGAAATTAAAAAGCATATTGAATCATAATTTTATACTTTAAATTGTTTTATCTGTGAATATAACATTTTATCATATACTATACATGAAGATAAACAGATACTTCGTGCAGTTGGTAACCGAAAGATAGCCAGAGTGGCTATGTTAATGTGAGACAAAGTGAGTTTATGACAAAAATTTTTATAAGTAAAAAAAAAATCGTATACTGTTTGGGATCATTTGTGTATCTTCCTTGGAGAATGTAATATAGATCTTTAGATATAAAAATTGTAAACATGAATGAATGTAACAGAGACCCAAAATATATGAAGCCAAGGTGGACAGAATTAAAGGAAGAAATAAACAGTTCTGTACTTATAGTTCAATACTTAAATGTCCATTTTCAATAATGCATAGTGCACTTAGACAGAATGTTAATATAGTAGTAAGTGACTAGAACAGCACTATAAACCAAATGACCTAATATATATGTGGAGAATACTGAAATAGCAGAGTATAGATGCTTCTCAAGTACTAATAACACATTCTCCAGGATAAATTGCCAAAAACAAATAAGACTAAATTTTAAAAGATTTAATTCAAAGTATCTTTTCCAATCAATGAAATAAAACTGGAAATCTGAAATAGAGGGAGAACTACAAAAGTTACACATATGTGGGGATTAAACACCACACTGTGAAGCACCGGTGGGTCAAAAAAGAAATTGGAAATGAAGTTAGAAAATATATTCAGATGACTTAAAACATAACAAAACATATAGGATGCAGCTAAAGCAACTCTTAGAAGGAAAATTTTAGCTAGATTGCCTATACTCAAAAAAAGAAGAAACATCTAAAAACAATAATATATTTTTACACCTTAAGGAACTAGAAAAAGAAGAGCAGACTCAATACAAAGCAAACAGAAGGAAAAAAAAGTATTGGAATAGAGATTAATAAAATGCAGAATAGAAAAAACAATTTGACTATTTCGAGCTTTCAAAAGATCAACAAAATATAGAAAACTTTAGGTAAACTTACCAAAGAGAGAAAGAGAGAAGTCTTACATCATGAATACATAAATATGAATATAACATGGGTACATAACAACTAGCCTTTCAGAAACACAAGCAATTATAAGAGAATATTACAAATAATTGAATACTAACTAGATACCTTCAGTGAGATGAAAACCAAATCCTGGAAACACAGAAACTACCAACACTTACTCAAGAAGAAACTTAAAGTAGTGTTAAACAACACACTGAAAATTACAAAGCACTGCTAATAGCAAATAAAACATAAACTGATGAAACAACATCGCATGTTAATGGATTGGGAGACTTGTGGTTAAGATAATACAACCAAAATATATCCACAGGTTCAATACAATGCCTATAAAAATTCCATGCCTTTTTTTTTTTTTTGCAAGAGTAGAAAACACTAAAAATCATATGAAATTACGAGCGACTGCAAAATCCAAAACAACCTTGAATAGAAAAACAAAGTTGGAAGATTTACACTTCCTGAGTACAAAATTTGCCAAAAAGATACACTAATTTTAAAAGCCTGATAACAGAATAAGGATATATGCATAAATAAATAGAAGACAATTGAGAATCTAATGAGAAATACACGCATGTGTCTATGGTCAATAATCATCTGACAAGTGTGCCACGTCCATTCAATGGGAAAAGAATACTCACTTTAACAAATTGTGCTCAGACAAGAAGATATCCACAAACAAAAGAATGAAGTGGCATTACAAATCATACTTAAACTCAAATTGATCAGGGACCTAAACATAAGAAGTAAAATTATAAAAATATGAGAAAAGATGAAGTTAAATATTCAAGACCTTAAGTTTAGCATTTTTTTTAGCATGATACCGAAAGAACGAGCAATAAGAAAATAAATAATTGGACCTCATCTAACTTCAAAATTTTTGTGCTTCAAAGGTCTCAATCAAAAAAGTGAAAAGAGAGGAGAGTGGGAAAGCTGGCAGAACGGAATTCTTTAACAATTGTATCCCCATAGAAACATCAATTTTAATAACTATTCTTACACTACATACCTTCACAAAAGCTAGTAAAGCCATGTGAGAGATCATTGTACCTAGTTATACTATTTTCTTCTTGTGATAAAATAATAAACATTGAAGAGGGCAGGAAGGAGAGTTCTGATTACCTGCATTTCTTATCCCCAACCTCAGACAGCACAGTGCAGGGAGAGATACCAAACACTTGGGGAATAAAAAGGGAAGTAAGTGTGGGACTTGGTCTTGGTGCCCAACACTAGGCCCACTACAGAAAAACTGAAAACCAGGCAGCCCCCACAACCACTGACTCCAGGCCAGTACACAAAGACCGAGCCTCCAGATCTACACCAACACTAGGCAGAAACCATGCAAAGCAGAATTAATTTGCAGTCATCATCACTGCCACCCACCCAGAGTGGCCTTAAGCTCTGGAAAGTATCCACTGGCAGGCAGGCCTCAGTGAACATGGGCTTCAGACTTGCATCAGTGCTGCACCAGCCCCAGTGGCCACAGGATATCATCTGGGACCCACACCAGTTCCAGTGGCCATGGGATTACAGCACTGCACTGCACCAGTCGTGGCAGTCCCAGGCTTAGGGCACCACCTAGGGCTGCCCCCACCACAGCAAACTAGAGCTTAGGGACCACACCAGACAACCTGCTCAGAATCTCTAGACAGGCTTACTATTGAAGAATGTTTCAGGATAAAACAAGTCTGCAAAGACTGGAATAAGTACCTATTATATTAGATGCATGACTGCAGACGCAAGAGAAATCAAGGAAGCATACATCACCAAGCAAACAAATGGAGATGCATAAACTACCTGACAAAGCATTTGAAATAACAGTCTTAGGGAAGCTCAGCAAACTTCAAGAAAATACACAGAAACTATTCAAACAAACGATAAAAATAATATGACCACAATGATAAACTTAGCAAATATTGGAATAACTTAAAAATCAAACAAATTCTAAAGCTGCAAAATATAATGAACAAAATGTAAACTGCAGTTGAGACCATCAACAGCAGAATGGATCAAGCCAATGAATCTGTGAACTCAAATACAGGTTATATGAAAATAGAGAAGAGAAAAGAATGAAAAATAATAAAGGAAACATGAGATTTACTGGACAGCAACAAAACAGCAAATTTTTGAGTCATTGGAGATAAGGGAGTTGAAATGATAAAGGAGTAGAAAGCTTATATGAAGAAATAATAGAAAACTTTTCAAACCTGGAAAAAGATATAAATAACCAGGTACAGTGAGGTAAAAAGTAACCAATCAGATTCAATCCAAACAAAACTACCCCTAAGACATATTATAATCAAACCACCAAAAATTGAAGGGAAGCTTCTCTGTATTGGTGGAAGGTAGGTAGGGCTTTTCTAGCCCCTACTTCCACTCTATCCCCTGAGTTCCACCTGCACTGACTCGAGGAAGAGTAAGCATCTAGAGCTAGTGAGAATGGGAGGAACTTACAAAGTCAAGAGAGAAGCCTATTGTTCCTTGCTCACCCACAGATTACGTACTATTACTCAAGGCTTGCTGTATTTATTATAGAAGAGAAAATCTTCTTGTATTATATATCAGCTGAGTTATTGCTTATCTGAGAATCACCAGAAGTTTCCACCCGAGACAGGATAAGAGAATAGAGCCAACATGTTGGGATTTCCAGAGCAATCAAGAGAAAAGAAAATCTATTGTGTTATTATTGCCCCTGAGAAATCACACTTTTGTCTTTCCTAGGAAGCTGATGCTTACAACAATGGAGATTAGCAATACCTGGACAGAGTTGAGCTTCAAAGGATACTGAGAAATGGCTAAAGCAGGTAAAAAGAGAGAAGACTGGAACTTTGTCTATGCTTATCATCTAGCTTCAAGGAGAAACACAGTTGAGTTCAGCCATTTTGAAACAATGGTTAGAAACTAGATAAAAAGTTCTTAAGCTTTTCATTATTTATTTATTTATTTATTTTTGAGACAGAGTCTTGCTCTGTGTCCCAGGCTGCAGTGCAGTGGTGAGATCTCTGCTCACTGCAACCTCCGCCTCCCGGGCTCAAGTGATTCTCCCACATCAGCCTCCCAAGTAGCTGGGGTTGCAGGTACCTACCACCGTGCCTGGCTAAGTTTTCTATTTTTAGTAGAGAAAGGGCTTCACGATGTTGGCCAGGCTGGTTTCAAACTCCTGACCTTAAATGATCTGCCAGCCTAGGCCTCTCAAAGTGCTGGGATTACAGGCATGAGCCCCCGCACCCAGCCCTTAAGCTTTTTATGAGCAAATTAATATTTCAAATTAAATTGAACCAAATGGTTTTCTCATACGATGGAGCAACATTCCTCATGCTGGAAAATGAGATGCTCCTGAAGTCTTTGCATCTTGGCCCTCTACCGTTGTTTTCCACATTGATATTTATGTGTTCTGTTTAGAGACTTGATGTGTTCCCAGAACTTTCTGAAGAGCCCCACCACATCCTTGTTTCTCAGGATGTAGATGAGGGGGTTTAGCATGGGGGTGAGTACAGTGCAAAATACAGACACAGCTTGTTTCTGCTCAGGGATGTGGGAGAAACCCTGTGTCACGTATATTAAACACACAGTTCCTAAGTAAAGACCACGGAAAGATGGGAGGAGCAGTTGGCCAAAGCTTTGTTCCTACTTTAGGGGGATTTCATATGGAGGACTGTAAGGAAGATGAGGTATGAGAGGCCACAAGTCCAAGATGAAATGGATAAGAAGTAGAGAGCCACAGGCCAAGATCAAATGGGTAAAAAGTAGAGAGCCTGCATTTGAACCAGGTAGTCTGACTCAGGGTCCACACATCATCTCAATCATGGATGACTACCACAGACAGCTTGTTCCTTTCTCATCCCCATATTCTGGCTTCTCTCTTGCCATGTACACCTCCCCTTAGTCTCCATACCTGGGGCCACCTGCCCCCACAATCCTGTTCCCATAATATCTCACCTTGAATGAAGAGCTAAGCCAGGAAGGAAGCATCTGAAATAGTGTTGAAGAAAAGCTGAAGTGAGTGGAGAAGGACATCACTTTGTGTCCTTTATTTCTGTTGGCCAATGCCTGTCTCCCGGTCTAGACCCTACCACCTACAGGTGAGGCCTCAAGCACAGCTCATCTCTGCACTGTCTCCATGTAGAACCAATGTCCCTGCTCAGATTAGATATATGAAATCCCCTAGTTGTAGATGTGGGGGCCTATGGAAATGAACCTCTCATAAACTGCTGAAGGGTACAAATTAACACAGCTTGAGAGAAATGGCCTGGAGTGAGCTTCACTTCACACTAGGCCAGGACCACATTATTACTCCCAACAAAATAGTTTGTTTATAATCCTTTTCGTGGACTCCAGAAGAGGAAGATGGCAGATAGGAGGCAGGACTAACTTGCAGCTCCCACTTGGATGGACAGAGCAGCATGTGGAGATTCACGCTGTGAACTTTTGCTCCAAGAACTACCATAGGACATACCAGGAAAGCCAAGAGAATCCAAAGACCCTTTGAAGGAGGTGGCGGCCACTGTAGGCTCCGTGCCAAAGACTGAGTGCCAAAATGTGTGAAAGTGTAAAAGGGGGATGCTCCACCCCCAAGCACAGATCCTCACTGGGGAACCTGACGGTCCACATGGTGGGAAAAGGATTTAATCTTACGCGGAGCTAAGAGGAATTTAGAGAGCCAAGCAAAATATTCGAGTAGAGGAAACAACAAGAAGAGCCCTGTGGGAAACCATTTCGGACTTTGTCTTGCAGGGGTCCTTTGGGAGGGCTGCCAGTGGAATTGGGGAAAGACTACAAGGAGAAGCAAGCTTTCAGATGAATTTTGTAATAATCTTGACTAACGTGAAGCTTCCTGGACAGAACCTGGGGGAGGGGGCAAACTGGGAGTGCAGATACAAGCTCAGAAGCTGAGGCAGGCAGAGAGGCATGAAACCTAAAAGCCCTGCTTGCTTTCTTCATGAGGGGCTTGTAGCCTGGGGCAAGTTCTCAGCCCTGCTCACCAGCTGCCTGGAAAAAACTCAGTGCTACTGGGGGCACAAGGTGGGAGTGAGACTGGCCTTTTGGGCTGCCTGGGAGCTGAGTGAAGCATGTAACTGCCCGTTCCCCCCCTTCTCTGGTGACCTGCATGACCCAGCAGAGGCACTCATAATCCCCGTGGAAACATAACTCCATCAGTCTGAGGACCACACCCCAATCCCACACAGCAGCCACACAGCAAGCCCCGCCCAAGGAGAGTCTCAGCTCAGACACGCCTAACACTGCCCCCACCTCTTGGCCTTTCTCTACCCACCCTGGGAGCCAAAGACAAAGGACATAATCTCATGGGAGCTCTGAGGCCCGGCCCATTGCCTGAGAAATCTGGATACTTATCCAGGTAACCCTAAGGCAAGCTCGTATCTTCCCTACACTACTGCAGCTGATGCAACTCTTGAAAGAATCAACTGCTGGCTGGAGACCAACCAGCAAACTTATCAAAAATACAGCCAAGGACCCTCACAGAGTCCACTTCACTCCCCTGCTCCCTCCACCACAGCATGTGCTGGTATCCATGGCTGAGAGACCTGAAGACAGATCATACCACAAGACTCTTTGCAGACACTCTCCGGTACCAGCCAGTACCAGAGCACAGTAGCTTCGCTGGGTGGTTAGATGTGGAAGAGAAATAACAATCTCTGCACTTTGTTTCTCAGGAACCCCCATCCCTAGAAGAAGGGGTAGAGCACCACATCAAGGGAGCACCCCATGGGACAAAAGAATCTCAACAGCAGCCCTTTAGCCCCAGAACTTCCCTCTCACATAGTCTACCCAAATGAGAAAAATCCAGGAAAACCATTCTGAAAATATGACAAAACAAGGTTTTCTGACACCCCCAAAGATCACACTAGCTCACCAGCAATGGATTCAAACAAAGGAGAAATTTCTGAATTGCCAGAAAAAGAATTAAGAAGGTCAATTATTAAGCTACTCAACAAAGTACCAGAGAAAGGTGAATACCAACTTAAATTTAAAAATGTGTTACAGGACATGAATGGAAAAATCTCCGGAGAAACAGATAGCATAAATAAAAAACAATCACAACTGCTGGAAATCAAGAACACACTAGAAAAATGCAAAATACACTGGAAAATCTCAGAAATAGAATCAAACAAGTAGAAGAAACAAGTTCAGAGCTTGAAGACAAGGCTATTGAACTAACCGAATCCAGCAAAGACAATTAAAAAACACACCTTTAACTGTGTTTTCTTATACTTCGGGCTTTTTGTAGGTTAATGACTTTTCTTAATTCCTAAGTACCATCTGAGTAATTAGTCACATGGTTATAAAGAATATCAAATGTCAGACTAAATTCTTTTCAAGCTTCCCTCAGCAGCTTAAAGTTGAAACTTTTTCATTCCTTCTTCTATAATCTTGGGTATTTGAAATGGGTATTCTCCCACTTGAACATAGGCAAAATCTAATTTCTTGTCTCTACCCTATGGAATCTCGTTTAGTAATTATTTCTAAACTTATCCTGATGCCATGCATCGTTGGTTTGTTATAAGTATATCTAAAGGAGTACACAACATTTACTAAAGAAACACATTCCCCGTGTGATGTGTCCTGATAAGAAAAATGACCTCCAAATTTACATTCCTGTACAGGTATGATGATTTCACTCTACCATACTTTATTTTATACCCATCTATTGTTTCTTCCAGAAATATACATAACTGGAGTCATAGCCAAAACTTGTATTGCCTGGGCCTATTTGAGCATAAACAGCAGGTATTAGACCTAAATAGGGGGTCTTCTGCCAACTTGGGTGTGTTAGGAAACATGAACAATATTCAAAATGGCCTGCAGGACTCCAGTTTCAAAGTGAAAGATACCATGTCCATCCAAGACATTGCAGTTTGCCTTTCCCTGATGATTAGTGATGTTGAGCACTTTGTCATATACGTGCTAGCCATTTGTATGTCTTCTTTTGAAATATGTTTTTTGATGTCTTTTGCCCATTTTTTAAATCAAATTATTTGTGGGATAATTTTGGTACTCAGTTACTTGAGTTCTTTATATATTCTGGATATGAACCCCTTGTCAAATGCATTGTTGGCAAATCTTTTCTCCCACTCGTATGTTATCTATTCACTCTGTGAATTGTTTTCGTTATTGTGAAGAACCTTTCAGTATGATGTAATCTCATTTTTTAATTTTTTAATTTTTCCCTGTGATTTTGAGGTTCTACTTTAAAAATTCTTGCCCAGATCAATGTAGTGATGATGCATTCTGCCTGTGTTTTCTACCAGAAGTTTTACAGTTTAAGATCTGATATTAAAGTCTTTAATCCAATTTGAGTTTAAAATAGTGAAATAAGTGTCTAGTTTCATTCTGTATTTGGATATGCATTTTTTGCATCACCATTTATTGAGGAAGTAGTGCTTTTCTTGGTGTATGTTCTTTTCAACTTGGTCAAACATCAGTTGACTATAAATGAGTGAATTTATATCTGGACTCTCAGGGGTTCTCTTCTGTTTGTGTGTCTGCTTTTATGCCAGTACCATTCTCTTTTGATGTTTAATAGCTTGTAGTATATCGGGTAGTATGATGCCTACATATTCATTCATTTTGCTCAGAATTGCATTGGCTATTTGGAGTCTTTTTTGCTTCCATATGAACTTTAGGATTGTTTTTTTCTATCTCTGAAGAATATCTTTTGTATTCGGATAGTGATTGCCTTAATTCTGTAGCTCTCTTTTGGTAGATGGACATTTTAATGATATCAATTCTTCTAATCCACGAACATGGGGAATCTTTCCATTTATTTGTGATCTCTTCAATTTCTTTCATTAGAGTTGTATAGTTTTTCTTGAAGAGATCTTTTACTTTGGCTAAATTTATTCCTAGTTATTTTGTATTTACTTTAGTTTTTGTAAATGGGATTGCCTTATTTCTCTTTCAGATTGCTCACTGTTGGCATATATAAATGCTAATTTTGTATGTTGATTTTGTATCTTGCAAATTTACTGAATTCATTTATCAGTTCTCACAGTTTTTGCTGGTGTCATTAGGATTTTTTTAATATATGACCATGTCATCTGTAAACAGGGAAAATTTCAGTTCCTTCTTTCCAATTTGGAGGCCTTTGTTTCCTTCTTTTACCTAATTGCTCTAAGACCAGACACAGCTTCTCTTTTTTCTCTCCTGAATTCATGGGAATTCAGGATGTTATTGTTTTTGAATAGTTTCCAGTTCTATTTTTGTGGGTGTGGATGAATGATGCTGGAGGATCTTCTATTCATCTATCTTGTTGCTATAACTCCTCTCTATGAGTCTTTCTTAACTTTTTAAAGATACAGTTTGCTGTTAGAGTATAGAAACTCCAATTTCTGTCTGTTGATTTCCTGAAACTTTCCTGAATTTGTTAGGGAATAGTTTTTGTTGAAGGCTTTATGTTTTTTTATATGTAATATTACTTTATTAACAAACAGAAACATGTCACTTCTTCCTTTCCTATTTACATTTCTATTTATTTTTCTTCCCTAATTGCTTTAGCTGGGACTTTCAGTGCTATGTTACATAAAAGTGGCAAGAGTGACCGTTCTGGTCTTTTGCTGGATCTTAGAGAAAAAGCTTTCAACATTTCATCATTAAGTATTATGTCAGCTGTAGGCTTATCATATATGGCCTTTGTTATGGTGAGATACATTCCTTGTATACCTAATTTGTTGAGAGTTTTGGAATTTTGTCAAATGCTTCTCTCCACCTAAATAATCATAAAATTGTATCATTCATTCTGTTACTGTGCTATGTGATGTTTATTAATTGGCATCTGTTGAAGCATCCTTGCATCCCTGGGATGAATCCCATTTTATCATGATGAATGCTTTTTGAAATGTGCTTTTAAATTCAGTTTTCTAGCATTTTTTGAGGAATTTTACATCCATGTTCCCAAATGATATTGACCTGTAGTTCCTTTTTCATTCCCATGTCCTTCTCTGGCTTTGGTATTAGGATAATTCTGGCCTTGTATAATGAATTTGAAAGTATTCCCACTTCTTCAATTTTTTGGAAGTGTTTGAGAATAATTGGTATTAGTTCTTTAAATTTTTGATAGAATTTTGCAATGAGTCCATATTGTCCTGGGCTTTTTTTTTTTTTTTTCTGGTGGGAGACTTTTATTACTACTTCACTGCATTATTCATTATTGGTTTGCTAAGATTTACTATCGTAGGATTTATGTATCAGTCAATTCATGTCTTCCAGCTTATCTAATTTTTGACATGCAATTATTCATTATACTTTCATAATCTTTTGTATTTCTGTGGCCTCAGTTGTAATATATCCTTTGTAAATTTCTGATTTGAACCTTCTTAGTCTAGTTTATTTTGTTTTTTCACAAAACAACTCATCTGATGTTTTGCATTGTTTTTATCATTTTTTTATTTCTCCTCTAATCAATATTAATGTATCTACTAATTTTGAGTTTAGCTTATTCTTGTTTTTCTAGTTAATTAAGGTACAATATTACCTTTCCTTATTTGAAGTCTTTCTTCTTTATTGATGTAGCCATTCATTGCTATAAACTATAAACTTCCTCTTTGAACTGCTTTTGCTGTGTCCTGTAGGTTTTGGTATGTTGAGTTTTCCATTTTTATTTGTCTCAAACAACCTTTTATTTTCCCTTTTAATTTTTTCATTGACCCATCTATTGTTTAGGAGCATATTATTTAATCACCATTTATTTGTAAACTTTCTGAGAATTCTTGCATTCGTTTATAAACTGCTGTGATCAGAAAAGATGATTGATATTATTTTGAACTTCTTATCTTTAAGACTTTTTTGTGGTCAAACATGTGATCTAACCTAGAAAATGTTTCATGTGCAATCGAGTATAATGTGTATTCTGCAGCTACTGAATAAAATGTTTTGCATATGCTTTTTAGGTCCATTGCCCTAGAGTGCAACTTGAAGCTGTTATTTCATTGTTTACCTCCTGTCTGGATAGTCTTTCCATGGCTGAAAGAGGGGTGTTGAAGTTTCTTAGTATTATTTTATTGCTATCTATCCCCTTAGATCTATTAATACTTTATGTATTTAGGTTAATGTTTCATACATAGTCACAATTATTATATACTTTTTGTTGAATTGACTTTTTAATCATTATATATGATCTTCTTTGTCTCTTTCTACAGTTCTGGACTTCAGTCTATTTTATCTGATATAAGCATAGCTACTCCTGCTCTTTTCTGGTTACGACTTGCATGGGATATCCTTTTCAACCACTTCACTTCGTCTGCATATGTCCTTGCAGGTTAAAGTAACCTGTTGTAGTTGGCATTTTTTATACATTCTGCCACCAGATATCTTTTGATTGGATAATTTAATACATTTACATTTAAGATAATTTTTGATACATAGGGACTTAATGCTACAATTTTGTTAGTTTTCCAGTTGTTTTCTAGAGACTTTGTTCTTTTCTTCCATTCTTACTATCTTCTTTTACGGTTAAATGATGTTTTTTCTAGTGGTATGCATTGATTCCTTGTTTTTTAAAAATTTTTGTATGTCTACTACAGGTTTTTGCTTTGTAGTTACCACGAGACTTACCAACATATTATAACAGGTTATTTTAGGCAGCTAACAATTTTTAGCACAATAAAGCTCTACAAAAATCATTTTTCATGAAATTTTGCTACATTTCCTTTCACAAGGATGTTTTAAAGATAACCATCAAATGTGTCTATAATTATAATCCAGCAAATTGAGAGTTGACAAATGCTCTTTAATTCATACAAAGTTAGAGTATGCATTTTATATTGTCTGAGTTCAGGAAAAATATTAAAAACTAGTTCTCTCATATTTTTCCAAAGCACTACAGAATCTTTATATTATAGTCATAAAATAATTGAGTGTGGTGAGAGAAAAGAAGAATGTGTACTGTTGAAAACACCTGATTATTCGCAAGTTGTACATAGCCAATTAGGAAGTTATAGCATGCAGCTACCACATGTATGCTTTTAGGTAACAGGTTCAGCAGGCCCCACCTCAAATGCCCTCCTATCAGCCTATTCTCGGGTAAAGGCATGGTCGACTCCACTTAGATCAACATCATTTAGATTACCATTCTCATGTACCTGGTCTCTATGTTTTTGGTCTTGCACATCTCCAATTGATCACCACACAAATAACATTTCTAAAATACAAATCTGATCATTTCACTATTGTTTGTAAAACCCTGGGCCACACAAGGGCAAGAAATAAGCCTAACATGAAATAAGAAAGATCTACTGGGCATTGATCTCTCTCGCTTGCTCAGCCCTGTCTTTGCTCATGCTGTGCCTTTTCCCTTGCAGCGTGTCTCAGCAAGTTCCCCTGGCTCCAACATCACACACTCATCTGAGGGTAACTTTTCGTCACTATTCAGCACTGAGCCCCGGAGTCTCCTCTCAGCTCCTTGTTTGAACTCAGATGTCACAGATAGAATTAGTGTGTCCTTATGAGCTGCACCCTTCACACGAGTATCAAAACAGCTTATTTATTTTCTTACATTTGTTTGCATAAACAACTACATGTATTTTTCAAACTCCTTGGTAAAAGCCATGTGCTATTCAAAATTTAATCTTATTTAACTATTTTTAATTATAAAATAGTACAAAATGCTTGTTAAATAAATGAAGGATTGAATGTTGATGCCATCCCTCTGCTTGTTTGTATAACAAGTTACATGTTTGAAATCTCAGCTCAGGAATCACCCTGGGCAGGTAACCTTCCTTAAAACTCCTTCCACTCAGGTGTCATATTTTTTCTGCAGTCACTTATGTGGTCCTACATCCTCAATACACCACATGGCAGTAATTATTTCGGAGAGATAAATCCACTAGACGCCATCAGAATTGGACCATGCAGAAAAATGTAGCCCTCAATAAAGAAGGGGCGATGACTGGATTTTCTTGGTAATGATTAGATATAATGAAATGAGCATGATTTCTAAGATGTCACACTGCCACCAAGCAGAAAGGAGAATATTTTCAAAAAGGGAGAAAAGCCTGGTATTTAATTATTTGTAAATGATTTCAACTTCACAAAAATCATTAAAAAACAATAGTACAATTAATACCTATATACCCTTTACCCATACTCATGTGTGGCAGCAACATTGAACTCAGTTTGTTTCATTGCCCCTCTCTATCTCCCTCCCTCTTTCCCTCTCATCATTTGAACACCTCATGACCTTTTTGTCTCTAAATATTAAGTATTTCCTGAGGTTAAGAATATTTTTTCACAAAATTAGAGAACAGTTATCAACTTCCAAAAATGTTACATTAGTATAACACAATTGTAAAAGAATTTTGGATGGACAAAGACTATAAAATAGAGTTTCCACACAGTGAAAGAATTCCTCAAAATGAGATGAATATGAGATGAGGCATCATTGTATGAGAGTCTAAGGAATAACAGGGATAAAATCCTAAGTATCTGATGGGTAGAGAAAAGGAAAATAAATCTTTATATCCAAATTTCCTACTTTATAATTTCCTAAAGGACGAATCTCACAGTTAACATTTTCTTCAGAGCCCCCATGACATCCTTATTCCTAAGACTATAGATTAAAGGGTTCAGCACCGGAGTGAGGATGGTATAGAAGACAGATACCATCATGTCCTTCTCAGGGGTGTGGTAGGAGCTGGGGAGCATGTAGGTGTAGACGGCAGCCCCATAGAAGAGGATGACCACAGTCAGGTGGGAGGAGCAGGTGGCAAAGGCCTTTTTCCGGCCCTCTGCTGAGTTCATCCTGTGGACGGTGAGGAGGATGAGTAAATAGGAGCTTGAAATGATCGTCACAGGGATGAGGAGCATGAGGACACAGCATAGGTACATGAGGGTCTCATAGAGTGAGGTGTCTGAGCAGGACAGGATCGTTACAGCAGGGACTTCACAGAAGAAATGATGAATCTCCCAGGATCTGCAGAAGGGGAAGCTCATGGTGATGGGAGTGAGCATGAAGCCATCCACTGAGCCCAGGAACCAGCAGCCCGATGCCAGGAAAAGACAGACCCTATGGTTCATGAGGACAGGGTAACGGAGAGGATGGCAGATGGCCACGTAGCGGTCATAGGCCATGGTGGCTAGAAGGAAAAATTCCGAACCTGCTAGTGTCAGATAGAGGAACATCTGCATCCCACACTCAGGGGCTGAGACCTTATTCACACCCATGACCTGGTCCAGGAGCATCTTGGGCACAGTGACAGAAATGTACGCCATGTCCATGAGAGACAATTGACTGATGAAAAAGTACATGGGGCTGTGGAGGTGGGCGTCACAGTGTATCAGAAGGATCAGGACAGCATTTCCAGACAACGCCTTCAGGAAAACCACAAAGATGACCACACTAAGTAGAGCTGGATGTTTGGATCGTCTGAAGAGTCCCATGAGGATGAAATCCAACTTTCCAGTGTGGTTGGCCATCCTGGTGATGTTGGCCATGAGGTTTCACCTAGGCCACCAAGGAGAGTTTTGGAGTCAGTGTAACGCGTCCCTTTGTAATGAGTGTTTCGTGAGTACTCACATTTGTGTATGCTCATTGTGCTAACCTGAGTCCCGTGGGTCTGGGGATTTGAGTATATAAATGACATATAACAAATTCACAAAACAAACTAAGAATTCACAACTATAGGCCAGAAGAATTGGTAACTGATAGTAAGGTTGTCACGGTTCAAATTCATAAACTTTCCTGATGATAATGCCATTTATCAACAAGTACTGAAAATTTGCAGAACCTCCCTCCTCTGCTAACACAAACAGTGACTCATTGAAAGAAAGATAAAGCAAACTCCTTATTGTAGAGTTTTTGTCATAGACAGCTGAATTGAATCAACATCGCTGGTTTAAGAAACAATAGGCATCTTCAAAATACTCAGAGGTATATATGATATAAGAAAGATTTAGCAAGTAACTAAAGCGTAACTTGGAAAAAAAATTATGCCAGATGTTTGAACCTCCTCCTCCCATAGGATCAGGCCATGCTGTGAGGCTCTGTGATTGCGTGGAGCGAGCCTCACATTCTCATGAGCAGGGAAGGGTCCTCACACACAGCTGACCCTTTAGACATCGAGAGACGTGAAGTGAGGAGCCCACACACAGTAGACTCCAGCTATGGGTCCACCTTTTTCTCTGTCTGCCATTCCTTTCTCCAATCTACATCAAAAAGGATAAAAATCATGTTTGAGCTCAGGTGTGGTGAGGGTAAAATGAGGAAATGTAATGAAAGTGCTTAGAATAGTACAGTTTCCGATGAATAAACACATATACTCTTAGTGTAGATGTTAACTCTTTAAGCTAACTATTCTGCACAACCTAAGAGATTGTTGCTACTATTATTATATAAGATATATTACTTCCATTCTCCAGATTCAGTACCTATTCATACATTTAAGAAGCTGACTTTCAAAATAAAAATGGCAGAAGTTCTGCAAAATAAAGCATATGACCCACTTTAAAAAAAAACAATTTGGATTTTATATTTGTGTGTTTATGTGTAAATACTCTGGTTTTATATAAATATATATAATATATTTATGTAAACATACACAGGTGAATATATAACTATAACATTTCTTATTTTAACCCTGGTTATGCAGAGCTTTTTGGAGACTCCTATGTCCTTCCTGCCTAGTATGTGGTCCTCCAACCTCATCTCCTTAAAGCTCCTCTCATTTTAAAGCTCATTAAATCTCAGCGAGGAAGAACTAGAATTTGGAGGGTCACTGCTGTTTATCAGACAAGGCTTTAGTTGTTTTTGCAAACCTCATGTGCTTTATTACTTGCCACAATCAATCTTTCATACAAACTGAGAAGCAGGGAGGAAAATCAAACAACACTGAGGCATCTGACTTCAACTCACTGTTTCTCCCTCTACCGTGACACTCACAGCCTGTGTTATACTGACGATGAATCGCCTCTGACTTCAACTCACTGTTTCCTTCTCTATCATGATACTCACAGCCTCTGTGTTATATGCAGAAGATGAATCAAAGAAAAATTGAACTTGAGTGCACTTAAGGAGGTCACAGTCAGTCTATTCAGGGAACAACTATTATGTAAATGTGATTTGAAGTTGAATTTTTAAATAGTTACAAAATAAATAAGGGCAATAGACACAAAATATATCTGGCCGTTCTGAAATAATCCATAATAGCTGTTTCCACATTTTCTCTGAAAGAAATTAAAACTTTCCAACTTTTCAACTTCTGACATATTAAATGTTAAATTTTGAGAGCCCTTGCCAAGAATAAGGACATAATAACTCCTCTTTCTGGGAAGACTTTAGCTGTGATTATGATGCAGGGACATTTTGGAATGAATTTACAAGTTTCAAATATATTTTGTATTCTTGTAGTAATTACAAAAAGTATTTAAGACATTCAACTCACCAAAACTTCCAACATTCTGGGATGCTTCGGTGCTTTAATATAAATATCCAACAAATCTGAGACACATTTTATGTACATATGTATATATATGAATAGATGATGATGATAGATAGATAGATAGATAATGTGTATCAAACACTACCCCTACTGGCAAATGGTGGCTGAGATCTGTGTACAATTTAAAAACATTCCAATAAACTGCAAAACACACCTGCTGACCTCGTCCATTATTTGTGGCCAAAGTGAAGCAAGGACCAGAGGAGCGACCAGCACATGTGAAGACCTAAAAGGTGTTTGCTCAGTAAATTGAGGGGGAGCAGGAGGGCAGGGAGATGCGGGGTTTCCTAAGAAATCTCTGCTGCTCTTTAGGAAATGGCCATCACTATCATTAAGCCACTATCATTAAGCCACTATCAACAGCTCAACCAGGACACGGGACAGATAAGGGAACACTATCCACACACAGTGAACTGGCCCCCTGTTCATTCTTCTTCTGTACCCGCTTGTTTGACTTTCATGTAAATTGCTTAATGCATGTTTAACTTGGGGATTTATTGTAAGTATAAATGGAGTCAAATCTTTATTTGAAGCATACAGCATCCCAGGAATTGTTCTAATACTAATACTAAAATTAATACTTTACATTTCTTCTTTCCCAAGAGCCTATGAGTTACTTCCTATTATTTTCTCTCTTTACATATTAAAAAATGCAGGTTCTCAGGGTACCTGCCTAATATCACACACCTAACCTGAGATAGAACGCACGTCTCAGCCCGAGAGAGAGAGCCAGCGCACGTAACTCTGCCTGATTCCTCTCAGGGACACCATCCTCCCTCTGCAGTCTACACTTTGGATTTAGGCCACTGTCTGTGGGTTTCATCAAAGAAACATAAAATGATTGAGACATTGTTTCTAGTGTTTTGTAACCCTCAGAAATCATCCCCTCTCAAAAGAAAATCAGTCACTTTTCCTCTATAAAACTTCAGTGACAGGAAAATAAATACATCATTGTATGAAAATCTAAAACTATAGAATATATATTATTATGTCCATAAATAATTGGAAATTAAAAATCTATTTACCATTATGTCACAGTAAATAAGTGTTGTATAGAAGTTATAAGAAAGAATAACATTTGCTTTTCTCCATTAAAAACAGATGATAAAGAAAAAATGAGGAAATGCTGTGAAGAACTAATAGAACGTTTCAGAAGCAGAACAAGTCGAGAGCAGTGATGACCCTTTTCTTCCTGCTAGTACCTCCTGTCTGTCTGGCTGAACTCACCATCAGATGATGTCTTGAACCTCACCTAGATGGGCTGGTGGTGTGTGGCCAGGTTAAGAGCACCAACAGGAGTAAGAAAGTGACCTGCCTGGTTTTACCGTGTGCACTAGGGGAGGGGTTGAAAGCTTTCGGTTGATACATCACCTCTGGGAGTTGAAGAAGAATGCAATTAAGAGAGCTAAAGAAGTCAGTAGGTATCTCTCCTGAACAATTCTGGTTTTCTTCTAATAGCTTTTACAATTTTTACCTCTGTTATGAAATGCAAACTTTTAACCAATATTAGTAATAGTAATCTCAAATCTCATCATCATCAAAATCTTATTTATGAAATGTAGGAGTTAGTTCATATACAGCCTTAGCCTTTTCCACATTATAAAATATATTCCATATATATGTGTGATCTTCATTTAATATTCAAGTAAATGTTGTAAGATATTGTTATTTTTATTCTAACATTTCACAGGTATAGAATCTGAAACTCAGAGGTCAACTGATGTGTCAAAGATACCTCCACAAATCAGTACCTTGATTAAAACTAAAATTGGAGTCATCTTCATATCTTCATCTTTCTCCCTCTTCATTAGGACCGATTGTAGTCTGTTTCCCTCTCACTCACTTGCAATCTTTATTGCTTTAGTGTTGCATTTGATTTTTATCTTTGTTTTTGTTTTAAATACTGTCATTAAAGTCATAGAAAAATCTAAAGTAAAACTGGTTGAATAAAAATTTTAAAATCGACTCTAATGTAATAAACCAGACAAAAATGATACTTTACATGTTATATCTTCCCTTTAAACTACAAATATTCATTGAGTGTATACCCTGTATTAGGCTG
This sequence comes from Homo sapiens, assembly GCF_000001405.40. Classification (NCBI taxonomy): domain Eukaryota; kingdom Metazoa; phylum Chordata; class Mammalia; order Primates; family Hominidae; genus Homo; species Homo sapiens. Next base: position 134,941 of record NT_187646.1, on the reverse strand, counting down.
TTGGAATAAAACAGGGAAGAAGACAGAAGAAACTGCACCGCCATCTTAGATCTTGCAGCCAAATTCCTCTGAACTTTTCTCTAAAGACGTGCTCTGGAAAAATGTTGATCATTTTCCTACATCATGGAGGTCTTTTCATGACCACCTTTGTCTAGACAATGTCCTGTTTTTAGGTGCACGTTTGAGGGCTGGAGTCTCTGACCCACAGTGCTGCAGCCTGCACGTGGTTTGTCCTGACTTCTTTGCTACTTCACTTTTCGTAAGGCTCTGAGAGTGCAGGCCCTTGTGGGTGGACACTGCAGGGTGAGAGGAAGAAGTAAACTACTTTTTTCCGTTTCTGATGGGGGTGTGGGTCAGCAGCTATAAGCAACAGGGACCATGGGGGGCCTCAGACTTCAGCACCTGAGAGGCAGTTTCAGTCGTATTGGGGAGATGCAGGCATCTGGGTTGCTGCACATCACCAGGGCAGGGTTCTCTCAGCAGCCCTGGAGTGCAGAGTTCCCATCAGCTCAGCAGTGAGGGGCACATGGGGCTCCAGTGGTGAGGACTCTTGGTCCTTGGATGACAACACTCCCCTGCCCACTTCTCCAGCCTTCCCTGTAACCCTTTGCCACCTCTAACCAATCTTCTGTGTTACATCTCTTCGGTTTGCAATATGTAGTGTTCGTATATGACTGGACAGTATCTACTGGAGTTAATATCTATCAGAGTAATTATATCACAATTGCAATCTTCTCCTAAGAGTGAATAGTGACATTAAAAATTTCAACATTATAAATTATGCAGAAATAAAACTAATTATACAAAAAATACACTCTGAATGTCAGTTTTTCCCTGAGACAATCTACCATTTGATATACGGTGATTCACACTTCTTAATATACAACATTGAATTACTTTTCCAAAAGCCTCTTCAAATTTTGCTGCAGAATTAAACTTCACTTGCACCAGCTCTGAATTATGTGTGCTTTTCCTTCTTGGTCAATTTCATAGGTGTATCATTATTTGTCTTTTTTAATTAATATGTTTATATAACTTTTCATGTTTATCCATGTAACTACTGCTTCTATTGAAATGTTTTCTTCATAAATATAAATGTGTTTTTGGTATGAAAATAATAACTGGCCAGATGCGGTGGCTCACACCTGTAATCCCAGCACTTTGAGAGGCCGAGGTGGGTGGATCACCTGGGGTCAGGAGTTCGGGACCAGCCTGGCCAGCATGGTGAAACCCCATCTCTACTAAAACTACAAAATTAGCTGGTGTGGTAGCACGTGCCTGTAATCCAAGCTACTTGGGAGGCTGAGACAGGAGACTCAGTCAAACCTAGGAGGCAGAAGTTGCAGTGAGCCAAGATCACGCTATTGCACTCCAGCCTGGGCAAAAAGAGTGAAACTCTGTCTCAAAAAGAAAAGAAAAAAAATAGTAACTCTTTGTGAATAGTATCAACTAAAATATTTTTATTTCAGTTTCATTCTGATATTTTGTGTCATCAGAATTTTTTAAAGTATTTTGTTTAATATATTAACTTTAATAATTTCGTTAACTGTTTTGTGCTTACAAAGTCTTTATGCATTTGGGGATTATGTAAAGCATCTACCTTTACACTTTTAATGAGTTTCAGAGGTTTTTTTGGTACCTTTGAGTTATAATACAAAAATAATTTATTTGGGTGTGATATGCAGTGAATTGCTAACATTATTGCTTTTAAGTTAAAATTAAATTCCAATGTTGAATGGTATTTTCTTTTATTCATTAATTTCAAAAATAATTAGTAACTGTTTGTTCCAGGCACTATCTAGGTTTATGATGTTTGAAACAAAGATTCTTCCCACACAGCATTTATATACTAGTGGTAAATACAGGCAATAAACTAATAAATATGTAATGAAATGTCAAGTATTAATAATCACAGTAAATAAAAAATAAAGGCAGAGAGATGAGATAGGAATGATTAGCGAATCTATTTAACACAGGCTAGTTAGGAGCCCTTTATTTAGAAGGTGAAATTTCATCAGATCCGTAAATGAAACAATGGAGTCACTCGTAAACAACGGGGCAGAGATGCTTTAAGCAGAGGAAACAGAGAAAGTTAAAAGCTGTGAGACTGAAAGTAACTTGCAACGTTTGAACAGCAGCAAGAAGATCTGTGGCCCCAGACTGAGGTGAGAAAGTTGGCAAAACAGAAAATGGGGTTAGAAGTGGAACCAAGGAACCGGTCCTATAAAATCATGATGGTCCTGAGAAGGACCAGGGACAGGCAGAGGTGTGTTTAAGAAAGGGAAGACAAAAGTATACACGGCACTCAAGAGAGTGCATGTGCACTTAGAAAAAGAAAGGAAGTCTCAGCCAATGTTTGGCCCCTGTCTTCTAAGAACTCTTCAGGAAGTTTACCAGGCATGCTCACAGTCTGTTCTGACTGTAGCCTGGCTTCCCCTCCCCACCCCACCCCACCATACAACTCCCAGCAACAGACAGCACTCAGAGAATCTCCAGAGAGTGAAGGGCCCCAAAGCTTTGACTCTCCTTGCTTCTCGGTGAATCCCACTCTGAGATATCACTGGAGGACGGACAGAGAGGAAAGACATTTGGAACAGGTATATGATTATCACTGAGAAGGCTTGAGCGAGAATGCAGGAAAGGGTTTGAGCTAGTCCTGATGAGACATATGGTGTCTGGGCAAGGGGTGTGGTGGAGGAGGTGAAGTTGGATTGCCGTTTATACACACAGGAATATTGGGGCTGGGCAGGTTGGCATGGAACGCTGAAACTGAAATTTGGGACTCCAGTTGCCCAGTACACATCTACATGAAGATGATGCAAGGCTAGTGTATACACGAATCCAGAGGTCATAAGAGAAGGCAGTCCTGAAATCATGGTTTTGAGAACCAGGGTGTGTGGAGGAAACAACGGGATCACACAAGGAAGGAGGGTCAACATCTTATACCAGAAGCCAGTGCAGGGGAGGCTAGGTTTCCACATTATCTCTTCTTTTCCATTGGTCTTTCACTGAATTCCTTTAAAATATCTTGTTTTATTGGGTGTCCCCTCATGATAATTTTAAACAACTAGTGAAACAATTCTTGTCTTCATGTATGTTCATGTTCAAAATAAGCAAGTTTTTAAGTTTGTTTTTCCTTTCAGTTGATCTATTTGGCTAGGTTCAAAAGTTCTAACTAATTGTATTGATTAGAATACAATGAAATACATTTGGGAAGAATTGATATTGTTAAAATGTTGCAGATTTTTATAAACAAGCACAATAGGTCTCACAGAGATATCCAAATACTTAGAGGTCGGGTCTGGATTTTAAAGTAATTTTAATAAAATTCTTCCACAATAATTGAGATTCTGAGATTTTTATAATTTAATTTTTTGGAGAATATTTTTCATTTAAAAATACTTAAAAAGCATTAACAGTGACAGAAAAGCTATTGATATATATTTTTTCAACATTAATATTTATGGTGGAAACCCTGCTTAAAGTTCTACTTTTTTTACATTTTAAATGTAAACTGAGAAAATATTTATAAAAACAAAAATAACATTTTAAGAATTAAACTATAAATATATAAAACATGTCAAACATTTTGTAAATGATCCTGAAGGCACCATCAGAGATATAAAGAAATGCAAGATACATGCACAGAACAAAGGAAGAGGGGCCACCACCTTTATGGACTGGAGGTCAGGATATCAAGCCAAAGAGGACCTCAAGTCCTGAAATCTAACGAAACTTGCCCTGCCAGGCTCAAGTTTGCTTTGGCTCTAAGACTTCTATTTAACTTCCAATTTCTCTTTTTCAGAATAGGAATGTCTATCCTATATGTGAGTGTCACTGTTGCATTTTGACAGCAGATAACTTGCTGTCTGGTGTCACAGGTTTTAAATTAACTTATTGAGTAAAATCTAAGTTGAATAATGTGCTAGAGAAATATTCTTAATACAAAGAGATTAAAAACATTAGCAAGATGGTTGAAGAGGAGCTCCTATAATCGTATCCCCTCAAAGCAGCAATAATATAGCAGCCTGTCTGGCACAAAAGTCCCTTGGTGGGAACTTCTGGATCTTGACAGGAAGTGTCAAAACTGGTGAATCCCAACACTGAAGAGAGCTATTTTGAGAAGGCAGGGCCACACCCAGGTGGCAGGCTCACTGACTGTGGTCCTGGCTACAGACACAGAATTAACATCCCTCTGGACTCAGCTAGTGCCCTGTTTGGCATTGGTCCTGCCACCTGAACCATCTGCCAAGGGGCCCAGGGGCACTCACATTGACCAGTACCCTCAAGTCACAGGCCTGCTAACCTTAGTTCTAGCTCTGAACCCTGAAGCAGTCCATGACCCAGCTCCAGTCCCCCTCAGCCATGGTCTGGGAATAGACCTTCCTGCACAGAGACCTGCCAGGAGGCAACCCTGTTCATGTGCCTAGAGGCAGGCTCTCAAAACTACGTCCGACTGCCAATCTTGAAGCAGCTCTGTTACTTGGCACCCTTTTCCATTGTTCAAAAGCAGTCCTGCCCACTCAGTGACCTCCTGGGTGACACATTGATCGATGCCCCTGTAAACAAGACTGCTGACATCAGTCAGCTGGAGATCCTGAATCAGCCCTCTTATCCAGCTCCAGCTTCCATTCAACCACAGCTTGGGGATATCTTATATCTTATATTTACAGGGACTATGCAGGAGGTACACCCATCCATGCAGGACAGAAGACCTCAGACTCAGCTGTGGTCCATGACACAGCCCTGAGACTCAGTTCCAGGTCCTCTCAACTGTGGTCTGGGGACAATCCTTCTTGCCCAGAGACTTTCCCACCAATATAATGGGAGTCCTTCAAGGGACTCAATAGAATCCACACCCATTTCTGTACGTGGTAACAGGCATGCCATCTACAGAACCAAATGTGAACCCTGAAGCAGAGTGTCCTAGCGATAGCCCTATTGACCAAGGTACTAGAGGCAGTCTTCTCTACCAAGAGACCAGACAGGATTTATACTCAACTCGACTTCTGGTAACAAGCTTGCCAACTAAAAATTCTGCTGTAGACTCAGGAGTAGCCACATGACATGGCTCTAACCCTGCTCAACTGCAGTCCTGGAGGTAATTCTTATTAGCCTAGAGAAATGACAGGAGAATGTCTTTACCTACTGAAACCAGTCTATGCAGACCAGAAGAGCTGTTTGCAACTTCAAATGTGCACACATCAATGCATAGCTACTTGAGTCACAAAAAAATCAGGCAAATGTGACACCAAAGTAATAAATACCACCAAAGTAATAAAGCTTCATTAAGCAACCCCAAGGAAATGGAAATCTATGAATTGCCTAAGAATTTTAAAATCATATTAAATAGGATCAAAGAGCTTCAAAATAACAGAGATCTAAAACTAATAAAAAAATGCATAAACAAAATGAGAAATATAATAAAGACATTGACATCAAAAAAGGAAAGAATTCTTGTGCTGAGAAGATTTGTAGTCAAATTTGGAACACTCTAGTACTGTAATGGAGGTGTGTAAATCTCGTTAACTTTAGTGTAAAGCTTGTAAAATATTCTGAATACAATTATGGAAGTGAAAAGGTCAACAGAGTACTTTGACAACATATTTCATCATACAGTGAAAGGAGGCAATGAACTTGAATTTAGATCATACAGTTAGAGGAACAAAAAAAATAAAATGTAGAAGCATCTGGGAACTATAAGACAACATCAAGCAAATATATATGTGTATTATGACATTCACAGAAGGAGAAAAAAACAAAGCTAAAATGACAACATTTCCTAAATTTGTGAGTGATAGAGACATGCAGATTCATAAAGTTCAAAGGAACCCAAGCAAGAACAAACCAAAACATTATACCTGAGACATATTATGATCAGTTTGTCAAAAGTCAAAGACAATTCTATAATTTGGAAAAATATGGATGAGCCCAGAGGACAATATTTTAAATAAAATAAGCCTGGTATAGGACAAATATTGCACAATTTCATTTATATGTGAAGTGTCCAATAGTCAAACACATAGAAACAAAGAGTAAAATGGTGGTTACCAGAGTTTGGAGTGAGGAAGGAAAAGAGAAGATGTGGGTCAAAGGATACAAAATTTTATTTAAGCAGGAGAAATAAGTTCAGGAGGTTTATGGTACATCATGCTGACTACAGTTTCAACAATTATATACTTGAAAATTGCTAAGAAAGTAGGTATAAGAGTACTCAGCACATGAAATGATTACTTGAACCCAGGAGGCGGAGGTTGCAGTGAGCCGAGGTCATGCCACTGCACTCCAGCCTGGGCAACAGAGTAAGACTTCGTCTAAAAAAAAAAAAAAAAAAAAAAAAAAAATCTCCCAAGAAAAGCCTAGGACTAGAAGACTTCATGGTGAATTCATCCAAGCACTTAAAGAACTAACACATATCCTCCTCTGATTTTTTCAAAACATTGAAGGGCAAAAACACTTCCAAATTCATTTACTGAAGCCAACATTACCTTTAAACCAAAGCCAGATAAGAACACTAACTCCCAAAATATTATAGGTCAATATTCCTGAAAAACAGCTTTCATAATTTTTGGTAAAAACTAACAAAATACTAACAAGCCAAATTAAGCAGTGCATTAAAAGGATACTTCACCATAATCAAGTGGGATTATTCCTAGGATGTATAAACCAAAAGTATGTGAGACAGGTCTCAATCAGATTGAAAGTTTATTTCACCAAGGTAAAGGACATGCTTGGAAAAAAGAACACAATTACAGAAACAGTCTGTGGTCTGTGCTTTTCTTTAAAGATAATTTTGAGGACTTTAATATTTAAAGGGGAAAGCAGGCTAGAGGGGAAAGAGGGAGAGTATGATAATCCACAGGTTGCAAGAAGAAAAGAAGCAAAGAAGCAGGTAGGTGAATAGTCATTTATGTATTCCTTTCACACTCAGTAGAAGGATCATCGCTTTACGTCAGGTAAGGAGAATGTGGAGTTACTGCCTGTTACTCTAACCTTTCATCTGTAGTTAACTGATTAGGAACAAAAAGAAAACAAAAACCAAAGGAAATGCAGTTTCTTGCATAACTCAGCTTTCAGCTTAGTATCTTTTTTCCTTTTGGCATAGTAAATTGGGGTCCCAAGTTTTTTTCCCACAGATGCAAAGATGGTTCAACATACACCAATCAATAAATATGATATGCCACATTAACAGAATAAATGACAAAAACAATTGTGCATCTCAATAGACATAGAAAGAGCATTGGATAAAATTCGACATCTTTTCATGATGAGAACTCAGCAGATTTGTTATAGAAGGAATGTGCCTTTACATAATAAATCTCACAGCTAAATCATACTCGATGGAGAGAAAGATTTTCCGCTAAGATCAGGAACAAGACAAGAGTGCTCACTCTCACTGCTTCTATTCAACATAATACCAGAAACTAGCCAGAGCAATTAGGCAATAAAAAGAAAGAAAAGGCTTTCAAATCAGAGGACGTTAAATTATCTTGCCATCTGTTTGCAGATGACATGATTTTACATATAAAAAACTCAAGACTCCAGCAAAATCCCATCAGAGTTAAAGAATTCAAGAAACTTGCAGGATACAAAATAAACATATATAAATGAGTTGTATTTCTATACACCAAAAAGGAACCATCCAAATATGTAATTAAGAAAAGAATACCATTCCCAATACCATCCAATAGAATAAAATACATAGGAATAAATACAGCTGAGGGAGTGAAAGATCTGTTCACTAAAGAGGAGATAAATAAGTGGGAAGATATCTCATGTTAATGGGTTAGAATAACTAATATTCTTTAAATGTCCATATTACTCCAGAAAATGTCTGATTCAGTATAACCCCAACTAAAATCCACAGGCATTTTTTACATAAATAGAATAAAACCATTCTAGAAATTTTGTGAATGCACAAAAATATCAAATAGCCAAAGCAATATTGATAAAAAGAACAAAGCTGGAGGCTTCAGACTCCGATTTCAAACTATATTACAAATTATAGAAATAAAGCCATGCTTATATGGTCAATTAGTCTTTGATGAGGGTGCCAAAAATGCAGCATGAAGAAAGGATAGTCTGTTCAATAAATGGCATTGGGAAAACCAGATACATACATGCAGAGGAACGAAATTGGACTCTTATCCTACACTATTCCCCCAAAACCAAATCTAAATGGATCGAAGACTTAAATGGAAGACCTGGACTTGTAAAAGTCCTAGATGATGACATAGGGAAACAGCTCTTTGACATTGATCTTGGCCGTGATATTTTTGATATGACACAAAAATTAAGGCAACAAAAGCAAAATAAGCAAGTAGGACTGCATCAACATGCAAAAACTTTTGCACAGAAAAGGAAACAATAAAATGAAAAGGTAATCTCTGCAATGGGAGAACATATCTGCAAACCATATTTTGGATAAGGAGTTAGCATCCAAAATATAAAAGAAACTGACAAAATCATTAGCAAATATCAAATTACCCAACTTAAAAATGGTAAAGACAGTGTGAATAGGCATTTTTCCAAAGAGGCAATACAAATAGCCAACAGGTGAATGAAAAGATGTTCAACATCACTAATCATCAGGGCCACACAAATCAAAACCACAATGAGATATCAGCTCACACCTGCTAGGATGGCTATTACCAGGCAATACATAGCAAGTGCTGTCAAGTGTGTGTAGGAAATGGAACACTTGTACATGTGCATTGCTGGTAGAAACGTAAGTTGCAACAGCCTGTGTTGAAAGCTGTATGACAGTTCTATAAAGATTAAAAATAGAGCTACTCTATAATTCAGCAATCCCACTCTGTACACCTTCCTGAGGTAAATAATTATATAAATAATATAATGACAACATAAGAACATTGTTAAATTAGTCATCTGTGGTGTCCATTTGAGCAGTTTTGCCCATTTATTTAATTACAGCAATTTCTGAAACCAAATTTTACCTACCTCTAACAACCCCCTCTTACAAGTGATATTTCTGCACCACTTGGTGGAATTTACTTCCAAATTCAGATCTCTGTACACAAACTCAGACAAACTCCTTTCATGCACTGCAGGAATAATTTTCAGTGAGAAGCAAAAGTGTTCGGTCGATGTGTCATGTAAAGCAAGTACTTGTCATTTCTCTCGAAGATGCGATAGGCATGGGAACACCTGGCTTCCATTCATTGTCGGTAAATCAGGCAAGGTCAGGGCTGTGCCAAGGGGAAGTAAATTAACAGCTTCACGATACAGCTCGAGATTCAGCTTCTTGCATATTAGAACAAATGTATTTCTTTCCTAATTTCTCACGTTCCAGAAATACTAGACCCATGAATTATTTTGTTAATGAAAATGATAGTGATCTGATGCTCATAGATTTACAGAAGTTACCTTTGTAGCATGATATACATCTGGCAAACTAAAGGTTAGTGACAAGTTTATAACCATTTTGCTGGTTTTCCCAGTTTCAGAAGAAACATGCTGAGGGGGTTAAGCTTTCCTAAGTCTCCATTATCGCACGCGACTGTTATGATATTTATTGTAAACATAGTAGACCATTGTCTGGAATAGACTAAATCCTAAAGAAACTAAATCTGGAACTACTTTTATTTACATACTATGAAATAGATGAACCTATTCTTTGAATTTTGAAATGGATTCATTTTTGGTTTAGGTGGTTCCAATGGCCAATGCTAAAACTACTGGTGTTTACACTACAAAGTTCACTTCAGCCTTTGGAGAAAATGCGTTTCTTTGTACTTACTGAGATACAATAGCAGAAACACTGACCCCAGTGGCTGCCAATGTGAACCGAGGTTTACAATGTATTGCAAAGGGAGGGAGCAGCCAATACTCCTCCTCTAGGGCTCTGCTAGGATTCTAAGTCTTTACAATGAGTCTCTTCGAGGGGTAAAGTGTTTAAGACCAAGTCTCATACTAAAATGCTCAATGAACCTGGGATGGGAGATAAGATAAAAGGCACTCTATAAGGTCTTTCATAGGTCAGCTACTGCAGTGCAGTTAAAAACACTCTAAAGATATTAAATCTAATGAGATAAATGGGAGCAATAAGCAGTATGGAGGGAAAACGCCACGTATAAGAAAGAAGGAAAATATGAGTGGGCTTTGTGCTGGGGACCCGGAGACCTGAGGGCAAAAGAGAGGAGAGATAGGGAGTAACGGAATTATAGAAAGAGGAGGGGACAATGCTTGCCCTTTACTACTTTTCTTGGTTCATTCTTGACTGCATCATGCTCCTCAGAGCCCTGGTGACATCTTTGTTGCGGAGACTGTAAATGAGGGGGTTCAGCACAGGAGTGAAGATGGTGTAAAAGGCAGACACCATCATGTCCTGCTCAGCTGTGTGGTAGGAACTCGGGAGCATGTAGGTGTAGAAGGAAGCACCGAAGAGCAGCAGCACTATGATCATGTGGGAGGAGCAGGTGGCCAAGGCCTTCCTGTGGCCGGCGGCAGAATTCATCCTGTGGATGAGATGCAGGATGAGGGTGTATGAGCTGGAGATGACCATGATGGGGGCGAGAAGCATGAGGATGCAGCACAGGTACATGAGCGTCTTATAGAGGGAGACGTCAGAGCAGGAGAGCTTCAGCAGGGCAGGAGTCTCACAGAAAAAACTCAGGATTTTCCTAGACTGGCAAAAGGGGAAGCTCATGGTAATGGGGGTGAGCAACAAACCATCAACCATTCCCAAAACCCAGCAGGCTGACACCAGGAGCTGGCACACCCTCTGGTTCATCAGCAGTGGGTAATGGAGAGGTCTGCAAACAGCAGCATATCGGTCATAGGCCATGGCAGCCAGGAGGAAAACCTCAGCTCCAGCCAGGGTCAGGTAGAAGAACATCTGGATCCCACAGCCTGACGGGGAAATGGTATCATCTCCAGTGACCTGGCCCACAAGCATCTTGGGCACAGTCACGCATAGGTACATGAGATCCATGAGCGCGAGCTGGCTGATGAAGAAGTACATGGGGGTGTGGAGGCGGGGCTCTGAGTGGATGAGGAGGATGAGGAGGGCATTCCCAGTGAGGGCCATCAAGAAAAGAAGGAAGGTCACGGTGTAGAGGAGGGCAGCATGCTTGCTCTCAGCAAAGAGTCCCGTGAGGGTGAAATCAGTGCTTGCTGTTTGATTCTGAGAAGTCTGATTCCCTGAGCACATGACTGGCTCAGTTTCCCCCTGAGGAAAAAAAAGTCATTAATTTTAAATCTTTCCTATGTACATGGCTTTCCTGACCTTTTTCTGGTAAGACATGTGCTTTGAATTATTTTTCTAAATATTGATTTAAACTGACATAAAATCATAAGTTCAAATCTTAGGTCAAGTTGTATCTTGGCCACAAGCTAAAGTGAACTACGAAACAGATCTGGGGAGGTGACTATTCATGAGCTAAGTCAAGAGTGAAGACAGGTACACTCTATGTCTTATTTCCCCCCAGAATTAAGAACACAAGTATACTGGCCTTGTGGGATGGTTAGAGACTGAAGTAGGGAATGCACGTTAGGTCTGTAACACAGTGTTAGTGTTGGGTTGAAATTTTCACTACTTTTTGGATACAGTAGCTCATCCAGGACTCAGTGATGGAAATCACGGCTGATAAGGTTAATATTAATATTGTTAATGGTACAAATATCATAACTAATACCATGAAATAATCTGAAAACTGGAAATCTCCTTAAATTTCTTCTACCATTATATATCTCCATTTAAGTCCACTTTCCTCACGAAAACTTTTCAATTTATTCTGCTATTCCTCACAAGGTTGCATTCCATAAGTAGTGCTGACTGGGGCAGAGGAGCAGAGGGAGAGTCCCGCCTGCCTGAGGAGAGTAGCTTGGGGTGCAGAACTAGTGCCGAGCAGGAGAGCAGCAGTAGGCACAGTGAGCCCTCTCCCAGTCCCCAGTGAAATCTAAGGCATTTAATTTATTAACTGTCAGGCAGAGAAATATTTTTACAAGAAATCACAGCAATAAATGCTGCAGATGCCCTAAATATCAAGTATTTAGTTGAAATATAAACAAAATATTTATTTTCATTTTGCTGATACCATTTATCCCCCAAAAATCATGCCTAAAATGTCCAAAATTCCGTTCATAGTGATTGAAAAATGAAGTTAAAGCACATGAGGCAGTTGTGTTGAATCTTTCATAAAACCGCAGCCCTGCAACCAAGCCTAGGGATCCTCTTGTCCTGCATCTCCTTTGCATAACAAACTAATCACCATCCCCTCCCATAAATTCATAGCTTTGCTCAGTGACTGCTTTGTCTGAATATTTCAGTTTTAATTTTCCAGTTGCATTGTTTTAATCATGCTTGATACAATTGTCTCAAAGTTAAAAAGCCCACTAACTTCTAGACTAATGAAGAGTCAGGAGCTCCATGACTGAGGTTTGGTCATCCTCAGGGTTGCTGTACTGCAGGTTAGAGAAATAATGCTGAGGAAAAAACTAATAGTGACTGAGGCATGTGGAAATGCAAAGTGAAATACAACGCACTGTTCCTAGGGCAAAAAAACAAAAAAACAAAACAAAAACAAAGCACACACACAAAACAAGAGACAAAACAAAAAAAAACCCTGGGACTTCAGGAAACCTAAAGTCAGAATTATGAAGAGCTAGCAACAAGAGTCAGGTATCTTTGTTCCTTACTTATCCCCTTTATAAAGCACTGAAGAGACAGGTCATCAAGACACCTTTCAACAAAGAGACGAACACGGCACATAGAGCACAAACCTTTTGCTCCATCTTTTCTGTTCCATCAGACAATAAATCTAAGCCACGCCAGCTCAGTGAAGCTGCTTTCACCATTCTAAGGCCAAAGCAAAGGGGTTTAAATTCAGAATGAAAATGAGAAAATTACATCGTCAGTTTCTTCACATTAGGGAATTGAGATGAGTGTTTATTGCTTAATTCTTTGCCTTGTTTTCCTTTTTTTTTTTTTTTTTCCTTCTTATTCATCTTTCCTGTACTTGGCATTGTCTCTTTCCTGGAGCTTCTATTTTCTTTAAGACCCTCTCAGAATCCACTATTTTGGTATTTTTGTTTTCTTTTGCTATTTGTTTTTGATGGTTATATTCTAACTTTCCACTCACGGTCCACGTGGGAATTAAACATGTTTTTCATTTATGCGATGCATCTATCCAAAAGCAAATCCATCTTTCTCATGACGTTGCACATTTTTTAAACAACTTCATTTTTCTAGTTTAAAATTATATTTTCATATCAGACATTTAAAATAAGCTCTCTTTGTAAAAGCAAATCTGAATTTCACAAAGGGAGGATCATGCAAAACCAGTGTCAGAAGTCTGTAAACTAAATTTAAAATCCTAAGACCCCTAATCAACTGAACAGACCCCCTCTAGGCCACGAGAATCTCAGGAAAGCTGAAAAGCTTAATTGCAGGACATAAGAAGGGAGACACACTTCATTACACCCATCTTTTGGAATTTAGGCACAACTGACCAGCAATAACATTGAAATAGAGTTCCTAAGACTGACAAAACAGACTGAGTGGCAATAAGATACCAAATTCCAACCTGACTCTGGTATAGCATCACATGACAGATAGCAGACCCTGAGGAAAATCAAAATATTCCACCCCAAAGTATGTATTTGACATATTTTGAAATGGCCCTACAAAGCCATCTTTCGTGGGGAAAAGTTGCATCTGTAGACACTCTCCATTAACACAGCTGGGGCTTTCCCAGATTCAGGAGAAAATATCGGAGTCTGACAACCTTTTAGGTTCTAAAACATTTACCATTTATTATATTTGCTTCCAATTAATTGTGTAATCTTAGTCAAGACACTAAAAGCTCTGAGTGTCACTTTCTCAGAATCAAAAGGAGTGTTATGTACTTGCTATGCTTCTGTGACTCTTAAGACATCTATGAATCTGATGACCGAATGTGGTCTAAGATTTCTCCATGACAGGGTGACCTTCTCCCACATCGCCCCTCTCCTTAAAGGCTCAGAGACTTCCCTTGAAATATTAGTCTCATCGAATTTAGATTATATAATTTGGGAATGAAAGAGAATGGGAAAAGGGAGCCACTTTTCTCAGTGCCTGCAAGGTTCCGAGACTTTGCTGAGTCTTTCTAGCATGACAAACGTACAAGTACTGAGTAGTGTATTCATCCCTGTGTACAGTCATCCCTCACTATCTGTCCTCAGTACCAGGACATCGTGAAAATACCAAAATCCATGATGCTAAAGACCCTAATATGAAATGGCAGAGTATTTCTATATAACCTACACAAATCTTCCCGTATGCTTGAAATCATGTCTAGATTACTTATAACAACTAATGCAATATGAATGCTATGTAAATAGCTGTTATACTATATTTTTTAGGAAATAATGACAAGGAAAAAAGTCTGGAGGATGGAGCAAGATGGCAGAATAGAAGGTTCCACTGATCATCCCCCTGCAAGAACACCAATTTAAAAACTATCTACACAAAAAACACCTTCTCAAGAACCAAAACTCAGGTGAGCACTCACAGTACATGGAGTTAAATTCATATTTCTGAATGAGGCATTGAAGAAGTTGGAAAAACAGTATTGCATCACTGACACTACCACCCCTTCATCCCCCAGCAGCGGTGGTGTGGTATGGAGAGCTTCTCTGTGCACTAAGGAGAGGGAGAGCCAGCAATTCTAAGACACTGAGCTCAGCGATGCCCTTCTTATAGCAGAAAGAAGACCCAGACCAAATTCAGCTGACACCCACCATGAAGGGCGCATTTAAACCAGCCATTGCTGGAAGGGAATTGCGAATCCCAGTGTTTGGAACTTGAGTTACCCAAGCCTCACCATGAAGGGCTAAAGTGGCTCTGGAGCCACAGACAAACCTGAAGGGCAGTCTAGGCCACAAGAGCTGCAAATCCTAATGCTAATCTGGGCCCAGAGCCAGTGGACTCGGGGGACACATGACCTGTTAAAACACCAGCCAGGGCAGCTAAACTCATCCCCTAACCTCAGCCTCCACGGCTTGTGGCTCCAAAAGAGGCCTCTTTCCTCTGCTTTAGGAGAGGAGAGGGAAGAGTGAGGAGGACTTTGTCTTGCATCTTGGATACCAGCTCAGCCACATCAGGGTTGGATACCAGCTAGAGTCATGAGGGCCTTGGGTGAAACTCTGAGGCATGCTGGCTCCGGGTGAGACTCAGCATATTACCAGCTATGGTGGCTATGGGGCAAGACTCCTTCTGCTTGAGGAAAGTGGACAGAAAATTAAAGAAAATTAAGAGAGACTTAGTCTTGCACTTTAGTGCAACTATTGTTACCATTGTTATTCAACATATTACTGGAAGTTCTAGCTAGAGCAATCAGACAAGAGAAACAAATATAAATAAATCTATCTATATGTAAATATATCTATATATATAGATAGATATAGATATAGAGATATAGATATAGCATCAAATTTCAAAGAAAAGTAAAATTATCTTCGTTCACAGATGATAGGACCTTATACTTGGAAAAACCTAAAGTCTCCCCAAAAACCTATTAGAACTAATAAATTCAGGAAAGTTGCAGGATACAAGGCAGATTTCTATATGTCAATAGCAAATAGATTAAAACAAATTTAAAAAGTAATCTCATTTATGATAGCCACAAATAAAATTAAATAGGAATTAACCAAAGAAGTGAAATAGTTCTCTAATGATAAACTATAAAGCATTAATAATTGAAGAGGACACTAAAAATGAAAACATATTCCAGATTCATGAACCAAAAGAATCAATATTGTTAAAATATCCATAGTACTCAAAGCAATCTGTAGATTCAATGTTATCCTTATCAAAATACCAATGACATTTCTTACAGATATAGAAGACACTATCCTAACATTTGTATGAAAGCACAAAACACCCAGAAGAGCCAAAATTATTCTAAGCAAAACCACCAACCAACCAACCCACCAAAACTGGAGGAATCCCATTGCCTGACTTCAAATTATACTACAACAGAGCTACCATAACCAAAACAGCATGGTTCTGGCATAAACACAGATACATAGACCAATAAAACCGAATACTCAGAAACAAATCCACATACCTACAGTGAACTCATTTTCTACAAAGGTGCAAGGAACATACACCAGGGAAAAGATCGTCTCTTCAATAAGCTGTACTGGGAAAAGTGGATATCTATATGAAGAAAAATGAAACTAGTCCCGTCTCTCGCCATATACAAAGATATAGTCAAAATGGACTAAAGACTTTAAGAACTCAAACTATGAAACTACCAGAAGAAAACGTTGGAGAAAATCTCCAGGATATTTGTCTGGGCAAATATTTCTTGAGTAATACTCCATAACACAGGCAACCAAAGCAAACATGGACAAAGGAGAGCACATTATGTTAAAAAGCTTCTGCACAGTGAAGGAAATAAATCAACGAAGAGACATCCCACAAAATGGAAGAAAATGTTTTCAAACTACACACCTGACAAGGAATTAATAACCACAATACATAGGGAGCTCAAATAAATCTATAGGAAAAAATCTAATAATCTGATTTATATATTGATAAAAGATTGAATAGACATTTCTCAAAAGACAACATACAAATCAAAAACAGGCACATAAAAAGTGCTCAACATTGATCAGAGAAATGCTGATCAAAGCTACAATGAGATACCATCTCATCCCAATTAAAATGGCTCTTATACAAAAGACATGCAAAAATAAATGCTGGTGAGGACATGGAGAAAAGGGAACCCTCATAAACTCTGTGGGAATGTGAAGTTGCATTTAAAGTTGTATTTAAAGGTGCAACAGAGAACAGTTTGGAGGTTCCTCGAAAAAACTAAGAATAGAGCTAACGTATCATCCAGCAATCCCGCTGCTGGGTATATACCCAAAAGAAAAGAAATCAATATACTGAAAAGACATCTACACTTCCATGTTTGTTGCAGCTCTGTTCACAATAGCTAAAATTTGGAAGCAACCTATGTGTCCATCAACAGATGAATGGGTAAAGAAAATGTGGTACTTATACATGATAGGTACTATATAGCCACAAAACATAATGAGATCCTGTCATTTGCAACAACATAGATGGAACTGGAGGCCATTATGCTAAGTCAAATAAGCCAGGCACAGAAAGACAAACATTGCATGTTCTCAGTTATTTCTGGCACCTTAAAATCGAAACAACTGGACTCATGGAGATATAAATTAGAAATATGCTTAGCAGATACTGGGAAGGGTACTGGGGGTGGTGAAGGGGTAGGTGGGGATGGTTAATGGATACAACAAATTTGTTAGAATGAATAAGTACTAGCATAATAGACTGACATCGTCAATAACAATTTAATTGTACACTTAAAAATAACTAAAAGGGTATAATAAAATTATAACACAAAAGATAAATGCTTGAGAGGATACTCCATTTTTCATCATGCATTTATTATGCATTGCATTCCTGTATCAAAACATCTCATGTACCCCATAAATGTATACACCTATGTCACAACAAAAATAAAATTTAGAAAAGTCTGTACCAATGTGACCATGATAAGCCTAATTATATTTTCAATCCATGATTGGTTAAGTCCATGATTGGTTGAATCCTCAGATGCAGAATCCAACTCATAAGCCCAACTGCAGAAGCAGATACTGACACCAGGAGACAGAATGAGCATATTCTGTCCTTGGCTGGTACCCACCCTGTCTTCCAACATTGCTTCTTCCAATATCTCAGAGTATCTTTAAACCACACACTTTCATATTCCTTCATAACTTCTCGTATCCTGCTTCTTTGCTGTGAATTTACCAAATGCATTTCTATATAAACTACCAGTCATAAATGCTCAGATAATATGACAATTTCTTTATGAAGGCGTGCTCTACTCAATCAGTGAGAACTCTCACACCTCAGACATCACAATCCTTCTTTTGTACTCTTCACACAAGCTTCAACTCACTCTTGTATTTTAATTATTCCTAAGTTTCAATGAAAATTCCACATGAATATGTATAATTAAAAATTAATGGGCTATCCAAATGCTGTATAGGTATGAAAGTTAGAAATCTAAATAAGCATTTAAAAATGGCAGGTGGAGGGTTATTAATATGTAAAATTGCAAAATTCTAGATACATTTTAGGTACTGCTATGAAATCCTTAATGAGCTGTACACTTATTTTTTTTATGGATATACTTCAATAGTTGTACAAGCTTCATGTATAGCCACAAATATAAACATATTCTAGAACATAAAATGACAAAATGGTCAACAAAGTTATCCATCATCTTAGGTCCTTGAGGGACTTTTGATGAGTGGACCCCGAGTACCATCTGACAGATTTACAATGTGAACATCACATAAACAATGTTTTTATGCAGCTTGAGATGTTACTATGGCATTACCTTGTGCATTCTGACTGATCCATAATTATATTTAAAATTTGCAACAGTGTTCCCTATTTTATGTTCATAACATATCATCATCTGGCATGACCACATCGTATGTTTTACCTATTCACTGTTTGGGTTTTTGTTATTGCACAAGGAGACCAAAATATATTTATTTTCTTCTCTGTTGTTTTCTAACATTAGCACTATGCCTGGCATATATCACTTTTGCACCAACATAATAGTAAAAATTGATTATTTGTTAAATAAATGAAGAAGGAAAAATGATGGTTAGAGAGATTAGTGCAACTCCTTTAGAGATGAATTCAGTAATATCTCATAACATTGAAGATGTTCTTTCTTCACTACCTAAGACTTCCAAGGAGATTATACAAGGATAGATACTCTTACATTATAAAGCATGAAAAAGTGGTAAACCTAAATATTAATATAAAGAAAATGCACACATGATCAATATTAATACCAATTTATTGTGAACATTTCAATTAGTAAAGTTGAAGGAAAATATGTTGCAGAATGATCAGTGTGTTACCATTTAACAAATACATCCTACTAAAATATTACATTTGGACACATATCTGCAATAAAAATATTAAAAATTGATAGGGAAGATACACACCTGTTTAAAAAAATTGGTCTGAGGACACTAAGAGAGGGAATTCAAGAGAGCACAGATAAGACTTTGATGTATCTGTAAAATATATACCGCCCTGTTTTTGAGTCAGGGTCTTGCTTTGTCAACCCAGGCTGGAGTGCAGTTTCGCAATTGTGGCTCACTGCAGCTTCAATCTCCCGGGCTCAAGCGATCCTCTCACCTCAGCCTCCTGAGTAGCTAGGACTATAGACACGTGCCACTATGCCTCCCTGATTTTTTAAAATTTAATTTTTGGAGAGATGAGGTCTCACTATGTTACCCAGGCTGGTCTCAAATACCCAGGCTAAAGCAATCCTTCCACCTCAGCCTTCCAAAGTGTTGGGATTATAGGCATAAGCTACTGCCCCTGGATGATATATATATGATATTTATTTATATTTTTTATATCAATAGGTTTTTGGGGAACCGGTGGTGTTTGGTTACATTAATAAGTTCTTTCATGGCAATTTGAGAATTTGGTGCACTCATCACCCAAGTAGTGTACACTGTACCTGATGTGTAGTCTTTTATCCCTCACCTGCTTCCACCCTTTCCCCCAAGTCCCCAAAGTCTATTGTATCATTATTATCCCTTTGCATCCTCATAGCTTACCTCCCACGTGTGAGTGAGAACATACAATGTTTGGTTTTTCATTCCTGAGTTGCTTCACTTAGAATAACGGTCTCTAATTCCATCCAGTTTGCTGCAAATGCCATTATTTCATTCCTTTTCATGGTTAAGTAGCATTCATCTATATACATATGAAGATATATGAGTATATATGAATATATGAGTATATATGAATATGAGTATATATGAATATATGAGTATATATGAATATATGAGTATATGTGTGAATATATGAATATATATGAATATATGAGTATATGTGTGAATATATGAATATATATGATTTTATCTACTCATTGATTGATGATCATTTGGGCTGCTTCCATATTTTTGCAATTGTGAAGTGTGGTGCTGTGAACATGTGTGCAAGTATCTTTTTCGTGTAATGATTTATTTTCCTTTGGGTAGATACCCAGTAGTGGGATTGCTGGATCAAATGGTAGATATACTTTTAGATCTTTAAGGAATCTCCAGACTTTTCCATAGTGGTTGTACAAGTTTACATTTGCACCAGCAGTATAAAAGTGTTCTCTTTTCAGCACATCCATACCAATGTCTATTTTTTAAAGATTTTTTGATTATGGCCATTCTTGCAGGAGTGAGATGGTATTGCATTGTGGTTTTGAATTTCATTTCCCTGATAATTAGTGATGTTGAGCATTTTTTTCATGTTTGTTGGCCATTTGTATATTTTCTCTTGAGAATTGTCTATTTGTGTCCTTAGCCCACTTTTTAATGGCTTTGTTTTGTTCTTGCTGATTTGAGTTTCTTGTAGATTCTAGATATTAGTCCTTTGTTGGATGTAGAGACTGAAGATTTTCTCCCACTCCATGGGTTGTCTGTTTACTCTGATGATTATGTCTTTTGCTGTGCACAAGCCTTTTAGTTTAATTAAGTCTCATTTATTTTTGTTTTTATTGCATTTGCTTTTGGGTTCTTGGTCATGAAGTCTTTGCCTAAGCCAATGTCTACAAGATAACATTTTCTGATGTTATCTTCTAGAATTTTAATAATTTCAGGTCTTAGGTTTAAGTCTGATCTATCTTGAGTTGTTTTTTCTATAAGGTTACAGATGAGGTTCCAGTTTCATTCTTTACATGTGGCTTGCCAATTTTCTCAGCACCATTTGTTGAATAGGGTGTCCTTTCCCCCACTTTTATGTTTTTGTTTGCTTTGTTGAAGATCAGTTGGCTATAGTATTTGGTTTTATTTCTGGGTTCTCTATACTGTTCCATTGGTCTATATACTGATTTTTATGCCAGTACCAAGCTATTTTGGTGACTATGGCCTTATAGTATAGTTTGAAGTCGAGTAATGTGATGCCTCTGGTTTCGTTCTTTTTTTCCTAGTCTTGCTTTGGCTATGTGGGCTTTTTGGTTCCATATGAATTTTAGGATTGTTGTTCTGTGAAGAATGATGGTGGTGTATTGATGGGAAGTGCATTGAATTTGTCCATTGCTTTGGCAATATGGTCATTTTCAATTATTGATTCTACCTACCCACGAGCATGGGATGTGTTTCAATTTATTTGTGTCATCTACGATCTCTTTCAGCAGTGATTTGTAGTTTTCCTCATAGAGGTCTTTTACCTCCTTGGTTAGGTATTCCTAAGTATTTTATTTTGCAGCTATTGTAAATTGGGTTGAGCTCTTGATTTGAATCTCAGCTTGGTAGCTATTGCTGTATTAACAGAGCTACTGAGTCGTGTACATTAATTTTGTATTCTGAAACTTTGCTGACTTCATTTACCAGTTCCAGGAGCTTTTTGGATGAGTCTTTAGGGTTTTCTTGGTATACGATCATATTATCAGCAAACCGATAGCATAACTTCCTCTTTACTGATTTGGATGCCCTTTACTTCTTTCTCTTGTCTGATTGCTCTGGCTAGGACTTCCAGAACTATATTGAATATAAGTGGCAAAAATGGGCATCCTTGTCTTGTTCCAGTTCTCACAGGGAATGCCTTCAACTTTTCCCCATTCAGAATAATGTTTGCTGTGGGTTTGTCATAGGTGACTTTTATTACCTTACAGCATGTCCCTTGTATGCTGATTGTGCTGAGGGTTTTAATCATAAAGGGATGGATTTTGTCAAATGCTTTTTCTGCAACTATTGAGATAAACACAATTAAAAACACAAGTCACATGGTTATGTGATGTATCACATGTATTGACTTGTATATGTTAAACCATCCCTGAATCCCTGTTATGAAACCCACTTGATCATGATGATTTATCTTTTTGATATGCTGTTGGATTCTGTTAGATAGTATTTTGTTGAGAATTTTTGCATGTATGTTCATCAGGGATATTGGTCTATGGTTTTGTTATGTCCTTTCCTGGGTTTGGTATTAGGGCAATACTGACTTCATAGAATGATCTAGGAAGGTTTCCCTCTCTATCTTGTGGAATAGTGTCAGTAGGATTGATGCCAATTAATTCAGCTGTGAATCCATCTGGCCCCAGACTTTTTTTGTTGGCATTTTTTAATTACCATTCCAATCTTGCTGCTTGTTACTGGTCTCTTCAAAGTTTCTATTTCTTCCTGGTTTAATCTAGGAGCATTGTATATTTACAGAAATTAAATCATCTGTAGGTTTTCTATTTTACACGCATAAAGGTGTTCATAGTAGCCACCAATAAGCTTTTGTATTTCTGTGATATTGGTTGTCATATCACCTGTTTCATTTCTAGTTGAGCTTATTTGACTATTCTCCTGATTAATCTTGCTAACAGTATCAATTTTACTTATTTTTTTCAAAGAACCAACATTGTTTCATGTAGCTTTTGTATTTTTTGTTTCAATTTCATTTAGTTCTGCGCTGATTTTTGCTATTTCTTTTCTTCTGCTGGGTTTGGGTTTGGTTTGTTCTTGTTTTTCTAGTTCCTTGAGGTGTGACCTTAGATTGCCTATTTGTGCTCTTTCAGACTTTTTGATGCAGGCCTTAATAGTATGAACCCCTTATGATTCAGGAATTCCATTAATAAGGATGTATCCAATTTAAATGGGTATGTCAAAGAGATATCTGCACTCCCATGTTCATTGCAACATTATTCACAATAGCCAAGATATGGAATCAACCTAAGTATCCATCAATGGGTGAATAGATATAGAAAACAAGACATATATCCACAGTGAAATGTAATTCAGCCTTTAAATAGAAGAAAATCTTGTTCATTTGTATCAAAGTTGGATATTGTGTTGTATGTATCAAAATATTATAATTGTATATATCATATATACATGTTTATGTGTATAATGTATATTATATATAATACAAAATTATAATTATATATGTAATATATGTGTTGTATATATCAAAATTGCTAAGTGGGTACATTTTAAATGTCTCACCATGAAAATTGGTGATATGTTCTTTAGGTTAATTCCATCATTACAAATAATATACATGTATCAAAATATCACATTGTACCCCATAAAATATGTATTTTAATATTTCAATTAAAAATATTTTTTAAAATAATGCAAAAAGAACATGAAAGTGGAAAAATGATTATAGACATTTTGATCTGGAACTGAAATCAGAAACATGAATATTAATCTATGATTTCTACACACATTTATATATAGATGGTGTCTACTTCATCCTTTTTTCACATTTTATAGATATAATTTGAATTTTTTTATTCTATCTTCTTGAATTAGGAGATTAGTCAATATTTAGGCTTCCTTTCTTCTTAATGATCTATGGGGACAAATTTTTCTGTAACCACTGGTTTAGCTGCATCCTACACGTTTTATGTCGTGTTTATATTATTCTGTCAAAGGCCCACCTGTGATTGATTTTGGTGAGAATCCCATGTGCACTAGAAAATAACGTGGACTTTTCTTATTGTTGTGAGCATTCATATCTACAAGTTTTGTTGCCATTAAGTATGTTGTATAAATCTTTTATAACTTTAGTAATTTGGAGGTTTATGTGCTCTATCACATATTGGTGTGTTAACATACATACCATTAAATTGAGCAATGACTGGGCAAAAGGAAAAATCAAAGGAGAATTAAAATCTCAAGACAAACAAAAAATACAATATACTAAAACTTATGACATGCACCAAATCCAGTACTAAGAGAAAAGTTGATTGCAACGAATAGCCACATGAAAGAAAAAATTCAAATTAACCAACTTTTTACCTCAAGAAACTAGAAACAGAAAGCCTAAGTCCAAAGTTATCATAGAGAATAAAATATTAAAGTAGAAATAGGAGACTGGAAAAACTAGAAAAATCAGCAAAACTATTTAAAAATTAAAAGGTGATAAACCTTAGCTAGACTAAGAAAAAAAGTATCCTAAACTAAAATGAGAAATAGGAGGAGTCATTAGAACAAATGCCTCAAAATGAAAAGGATCATAAAAGACTATTATGAAAATTATGCACTTATAAATTAGATAATCTATAAGAAATCAAACTTCTTGATTTATACAACCTACCAAAACTAAAGAGGAAATAGGAAGCCTGAACAGACCAATAAGAACAAATTAGTAAACAAAAGATTCCCAGAGAAAAGACCAGAACCAAATGGCTTCGTGGATGAATTCTAAACATTCAAAGAAGAATAGCAATCCTTCTTAAACTCTTTCAAAAACCAGGAGAGAACGCCCCAAACTCATTTTATGAGGCCATCATACACTTATATCAAAGCCAGACAAAGATAATCACAAGCAAATAAAACTGCAGGTCAATATCACTGATAAACATAGGTGTAAAAATCTTCAACAAAATACTAACAAACCAAATTCAACAGCCCATTAAAAAGAGAATAAACCATAGCCAACTGAAATGTATCTCTGGGATGCAAGAATGCTTCAACATAGGCAAATCAATCAGTGTGATATAACACATTAAGAGAATAAAAAAATTTGCAGCAAAAACATTTGACAATTCATGTAAAAACTCTGAAAAACAGGTATAGAAGGAACTTAGTTCAACACATCATATAAGAAAAGCCCACAGTTAATAAAAAATGAAAATGTTTCTCCTATGGTCTGGTACAAAGTGAGGATGTCCATTGTCACCAGTTCTATTTAACATGGTACTGAAAGTCCTAGCCAAAGCAATGAAACAATGAGTTAAATTATGATAATTTTTCAACATAATTGTCCTCGTATCCTATATTTTCCTAGGTACTGAAGACCTCTAATGGACAGATTTTTTTAAAAGATAATTTGAAGGGCCAACTGTGTAGTCAGACTTTATATTCTTATGGTGATGTTTACTTTTGTTGTAACACACTAGATCACTTTCTTAGAAGTTCCCTAAAGTTGGGAGTTTGGGGGAACTAAGTTACAGGAGAGTCTCCCTGCTGTGGATTGGGGACAGTTGAGGGACCATTTCTGAAATGATTATTCACGACTTGAGCCAGATTATCTAGACTTCGTTATTGAACTAAACATCTTTGGAAAATTAACGCTGTTTTTGGCCTCTTGCCAATCAAGCGGTCTTTTCAGGCCTCTCTTAGGTGGAGTCATGAAAACAACTCATCCCTCCCTCTTAATACGTGTCTATCACTGCACAGTTAGGGTCACATTCTTCTTACTCTTGCAAGGCGATGAAATGCAATGACATGCAGATCTACTCAGCTGGGCCTTGGATTGCCAGAGGCAGAGGGCTTGAACTTAATTTTATTCTTACCTAGAGCATGAGCCCACGAAGCTTCCTCAATAGGATAGCAATGTAGAAGGGCCACAGTGCAGAAATAGAGTTTCAGTCAATCTTATTCAACTTGAACTTCTACATGAGAGCTGGGTTGTATCAACATCGAGGATAAAGGGGGGAATCTCAAACTGCTGGTGGGAATTACAATGGGTTTTCTGTCTTGTTTTCTGGTTTGAGAGCGTGCACTGAGTCAATGCCAGGAGTTTAAAAAATACGTACAAGCTTCCGCTCCTAGGGAAGCGTAGTATGGAAATAATCAGATGAGTGGGCAATTTATTAAAAAAGTGCATTCCGGTGTTATTTGCAATAAGAAAGTGGAAGTAACCTAAGCGTCTGCTAACTGGACACGTACTAAATAATTTAGGTTTTAGTACATAATAGAATTCTAAGTGACCAGTGGAATGTGAGGTGATCTATGTTCATTCTTCATCCTATAGCAGGTTCATTGTATTCTTAAGTGAAAAGGTGGCATATTTTCAACCTATATAATCATCTCCTTACAACTGTATTCTCTATTTCTAAGAACAAGATTATAATACATGCTGTGTATGTATTAAGGGATTTCATTTCAAAGATAATCAAAAAAGGTAAAGATTTTTACAATCTTTCAAATTACACAAAGCCATTATTTGCAAGCATCCCTGCCTTGGGCCAAGACTATATTATCCTTTCTCCCTTTGAAGTAGTTTCCCCAGTTTATACAGGGAGACAGAAAAGCAGTTCTCTTCATTAAACCTTCAGCTATTCAGAAGCTGAGGCCCAAAGATATGGTTTTAACTATGTTCAAACATGTTTTCTGATTTTAATTTTTCCAAGTTTATAGAATACTTCATTAACATCACTGGTCATTTCAATTAAACACTTTGGAAATCCAGGGAAAGAACAATTTTGATAACATCAACTGACATATGTAATCCTAAACTTTGCATTTAAATTTTCAGTCATGAAAGTGTTTTCTGCTTCTACCCTTGAGAAATGCCCCTTAATGGGACTTACCTCCTGTTTGCTTCAAAGAAGGAATATATGAAGAATCTAGCAAAAGCCAATGACTTTTTTACATAAGCTCCAATTTTAAAATAGTTAAACCACTTATCAGTGAAGCTGGAAATAATTTTAGTTTTTTGGTGTTTTTTTGCTTCTAGCATCACCCTTGACATGCAGTTCTATGTGAGCCTATAAAAGTCTAACTTTGTTAATCTTCAGTTTCCACGTCGTCTCTTCAAACCTGAGATGCCAAGGAAACTTTCTTTTAAAGATTTTTAAAAGGTACTAAGCCTTCTAAAATGAAAGTTTTTCATTCATTTATTACACTAGTATTTATTAAGGGCAAATTCTGTATTAGGAAAAATTTTAAGTGCTTGCGATGCCTAACAATTCTTGTTTTTAGGTATGTGATGATTTAATAAAACCAAATAAGCTTAAAGTGCTCATAAAAAATACAATGTGAAACAACCAGAGTTCAAGCTACAGGTATTTACCATTTTATATTCTTTGCTAGTTGTATAAACCAAAGGAATGTAGTCAAAACAAACCAAGTATTTTCCTGGCCTTTATTACCTGGGATTTAGAAGGAAGCACACAGTGAAATGCTGCTAAGTGTGTGACATGGTCACGGGAGTCACCCAGGTTTAAGAAATCCATCCTCAGTACAATCACAGCTGAAAAAGAAGCTTAAAAATGCATCTGGTTTTTATCATTTGTGTGTGAATCAGCCTGTTGTTTTAACTAAATAACCTATCGATGCCATAAAGTTGTCTATGAATACAATTGCTTTATGTATGGAACTTCTTTGTAGAGTCAGGACCTGACATTTCAGTCATTTTGTTTTCACAGAATTGTCAGAATTCTTTAGCAGAACTTCACTTCATTTAAAGTCAGTTGTCCAACTTGACAGGGATGTTCTGTCACTTTTTCAGATTTTTAATTTTTGTGGATACAGAGGTCTGCATTTTGTTTTCTTTACGCTAAATAATTATCTAATTATCTTCAGTTTCTCTGATCATTCCTTTTTGCCTGATATCTTCCTGAGCATTGAATAAAGCAGTTAATAAGGTATTTAATAAGTAGACTTTATGCTTTCTTCTATTACAATTTTATATTGCATATAGATGTTTATTGTATAAAACAAGTCTGTAGAAGCAAGTTAATTTTATATCCATATCCCTTACCTGCAGAAAGACCCCACAGGGAATCTGATTACCCCTCAATGTGGGTCATCAGGTCCTTGGCTAGACCAGCCTAACTAGCATCCAACAGCAAATGAACATGGCTTTTATCAGCATGTTGCTCTGAAGGGACCTTTGTCCCCAGGTCATTATTAGGGTTAACAAGCTGGCAGATACACATTGTGCCATGTGCTTCTCCCCTTTGTTTTGTTTTTGAGACAGTCTTGCTCTGTTGCCAAGGCTGGAGTGCAGTGGCACAATCTTGACTCACTGTAACCTCCACTCTGAGTTCAAGCGATTCTCCTGCCTCACCTACCAAGTAGCTGGGATTACAGGCATGTGCCACCACGCCCAGTTAATTTTTTGTATTTTTAGTAGAGACAGGGTTTCGCCATGTTGGCCAGGCTGGTCTCGAACTCCTGGCCTCAAGTGATCCAACTGCCTCGGCCTCCCAAAGTGCTGAGATTACAGGCATGAGCCACCATGCCCAGCCACTTCTCTCATTTGTAAATTGTTTATCAGTATCATGGCTTGGCACAAAACACCAGACCAGAGGTTAGAAGACGTGGTTCTGAAGCCCCATCTGCCTCTTGCTGGAATGGGGCAATAATTTGCTGTGAACATCAGCTTCTTCATCTCCCATGGGGCTAATTCTTTCTCTAAATACTTTATAAGAATTTGTGAAGATCAGAATCAAAATCAGGTAATGTAGTTAAATGTTTTCAAAACTAGGGACAGTCTTCTATTTTTTCCTCATTACCTGGATTAGTGCATGCCATGTTTCAGGTATACAACTGATAATTTAGTAACTTAAATATGATGTGTATTACTCAATATTAAAATTTATATATTATTTTAATAAAGAAGCAAATCTGGTGACCACAAATTACCTTATGTAAGAATTTGGTGAGATGACTGGGGAAAAATCCTTGGTCACTCCCTTTTACAGTGGGACTAGTTTTATGTGTGAAGGGAGTGGATACACACCATGTGTAAAATGAGATTAAAATTTTTTTTTAAGTTGTATTAAAGTAGAGCCTAACAGAAAAGCACACACATCAACAGTGGAAAGATTGATAAATCACCAGGAAAAGAACACGTTGATGTAACCACCATGAAATTTGTTAAATAGACTCAAACATTGAATAAGTCACCTCCTTCCATGCCCCGATCACTAATGTCCATGATATCCCTAGAAACTTGTCAAAATGCATTTCGCTTATTGCTTCAGGTATACTCTTGAAATGTCTGTCAATGTTAGAGTTAAATATTCTAGTTAAATATGCAAAGAATTAATCTTGGAAACATAAGAATAAAAGTCCTAATTTTTAATACATAGCAACTGAGGAAATGGGAAAGAAAACACATATCCCAGGATAGAGCACAAATGCAATGTGAACTGAAGGAGTTTTGTAGAGGGAAGATCGAGAAGGTGCTAGCTAAGGCAGGAGAATGGAGAATATGGAGGGCATTAGTGCAGAGACACAAAAGAATAAAATGTGAATGGAGCTGAATTGAAATAACACCGAGGATATTTCATAAATGAATCCTGGTCTGTTTCTTCACTTAATCCCTCCAGGACATTCTTCCATCTCTTTTCCATGTGTTTGATTTCAGGGTAAAGATCAAATTATTAGGAACCTTCTGAATGAAAAGCCACCTAGGGGTTAGCATATTGAAGGGAATATTCTTTATCTACGTCAGCAACAATGGAGGAAACATTTTTCCTTCTATCTGTGTTGACACTAGAACAACATAAGGCTGAGTAACCTTTGCTTAGTCTTTGTCAACTATGTAACCGCTCTGTCCAATGTTTTCTAAGCCTCGTATCAACAAAGAAAATAAACACCAGGTCCGTCAATATTTTTTATGTCTCATATTTCAGGACCTTACACACAGGAGAAACTAAAGTTACATGAATGGTGGGGTCAGTGTAGTCTTTGCTTAGTTAGTATTCCACCAAAGTTACACATCTATCAAAGCACCACACCTAACTCCAACTAATTACAAAAATACTTGTCTTCAGCATATCAATGAAGATGTTGAGAATAAGAAAATTGAGCAACTTATTCCACGGGAACTAAGTTAGCTAATAAAATGTCTTGGTTTATTCATTCTACATTTATCTATTAACAATTTGAGCATAAATGGCAGTTTTGTAGGTTTTTGGCCATGTAACAATCTTAATGGCAGAGTCAATTTTCAATCAATGAATCAATATTTCCAGGAATATATTGGACTCCATGTGAATAAAGGCAGGGCAAGTATTTAATTTCAGAGGTAAGTGATAACATTCATAAAATGTAACTAAGAACATGGAACCAAAAATAGTATCACCTTCCTAAATGTTTTCTAATAAAATTGCTACACATTTAGCACTAGAAAATATTTTACTTGTATTGAATGTTTGAAATTAAGTCATCAAGGAGGTGGCAAATGCTCCTTCCAATTTCCATTCAAAAGTTGGTCAGCAATACAGACAGACAGGCAGGACTCATGATCACAGGTTAACAATAGAGACAGGCAGGACTCAATCACGTGTTAGCAATACAGACAGGCAGGACCCATGATCACACGTTAGCAATACAGACAGGCAGGACCCATGATCACACGTTAGCAATACAGACAGGCAGGACTCATGGTCACACGTTAGCAATACAGACAGGCAGGACTCATGGTCACACATTAGCAATATAGACAGGAAGGACTCACGATCACACGTTAGCAATACAGACACAGAAGGACTCATCACACGTTAGCAATACAGACAGGCAGGACTCATGATCACACGTCAGCAATACAGGCAGGCAGGACTCATGATCACACGTTAGCAATACAGACAGGAAGGACTCATGGTCACATGTTAACATGGGCACTTCCAAGAGCTGCTTGGCGTGCCATGAATGGTTTGTAGGGCTACTTGACTGAGAATGCCCTCTGGAAATGTTTGTGAATCCAGTTGAACAAAGTTGACTAATGCGGAGATGCTCACCAACTTCGCTACTGTTCCTAAGTAATCCTTGCAACAGGATGATTTTGCCTGTTAATTTTGAATTGCTGAAAGTGACACTGAACATTCTTCAGAACCAATACCATATTTTCTGTAATAGCTGCGTTATTGGCCGCAGCACCGCAGATGTTTGCGCTAGTCCTTGCTAGTCCTTCCTGATCAGTCACCACCCCTGATGCTCTGGGAGTCCCCGCTAATCCTTCCCGATCACAGTCACCACTCTGATGCTGTGGGAGTCCCTGCTAGCCCTTCCTGATCACAGTCGCCACCCTGATGCTCTGGGAGGAACCACATCTCCCTAGTACTTTCCTCAGAGCTGCAGCCACATCTTTATTCCTCAAGCTGTAGATGAGTGGGTTGAGCATGGGGGTGAGGATGGTGTAGAAGGCAGACACCACTTTATCTTTCTCTGGAGTGTGGTAGGAGTGGGGCAGCACGTTGGTGTAGAAGGCTGCCCCGTAGAAAACGCTCACCACCATAATG
The DNA here is from genome assembly GCF_000001405.40 of Homo sapiens. Taxonomy (NCBI): domain Eukaryota; kingdom Metazoa; phylum Chordata; class Mammalia; order Primates; family Hominidae; genus Homo; species Homo sapiens. The sequence continues at coordinate 103,949 of NT_187646.1, read as the reverse complement.
TGGGAGGAACACGTAGCAAAGGCTTTGCGCCGGCCCTCAGCAGAGTTCATCCTGTGGACAGTCAGGAGGATGTGCGTGTAGGAGACAGAGATGACAGATAGAGGGATAAGCAGCATCAGCACGCAGCAGGCATACATCAGGGTCTCATAGAGTGACGTGTCTGTGCAAGACAACTTCAGCACGGCTGGGATCTCACAGAAAAAGTGATTGATCTCTCGGGATCTACAGAAGGGGAAACTCATAGTGACAGGAGTCAGCATGAACCCATCCAAGGAACCACCAACCCAGGAGCCGACCACCATGAATAAGCAAACCCTGCGGTTCATGAGGAGAGGGTACCGTAGAGGGTTGCACACAGCCACATAGCGGTCATAGGCCATGAGACCCAGCAGGAAGAATTCCCCTCCAATCAGGGTCAGGTAGAGGAAGATCTGAACTGCACAGCCCAGGAAGGAAATGGTCTTGTCCTTGGACAGGAGGTCCTGGAGCATCTTGGGGACAGTGATACAGATGTAGATGGTATCCATGATGGAGAGCTGGCTGAGCAAGAAGTACATGGGTGTGTGGAGGCGGGAGTCCATGTGGATGAGCAGAATCATGACCAAGTTGGCTGTTATAGCCACCACAAAGATGGAGAAGACTATTGCAAAGAGAAGCCCGGGGAAGGCAGGATGGGTGATGAGGCCTGTGAGGACGAAGTTAGTGGAGTTCTGGAGAAGACCCTCCATGCCCATGGTCCATGACAAGCTCCTTGGGCTGTAAAGGCAGAAATCTGGCAGCTTATTTAACGACCTGATATGTAGGAAGAGCCCACCAGGAATAGTATGTCAGAAGCAGCGTGAGATCAAGAAAAGATCACCTACTTCAGGATCATTTGAAATCCTGGGTTTCAGTATTAATGATCTGTATGATATTGGACAGAAAATTAATCTCAACTCAATTTCATCATCTGTGAAAGGTCATCATAGTTCTGTACTCTACAGGCTGGATGTGAGATGTAAATGTAATTCATACAGTACCTGGTTTAGAATCTGATTTTTACTTTGAACTATCTTCTGAATACATTTCATAATCTTATCACTTTTAGATTGAAAGTTTTCTGAGGGTGGTTACTGTGCCTTATTTCCCATTTCGCCTAGCGAAATGATTTGAATTTAAATTGCTCTCTGCATCTCCATCGAGATGATTGTACTAGAGTCATCCACAGACGTCTATTTGTGACTTAAATTGATAGAAAACATCTAGATAACTGACTTTTTTGGCTGCTGTTGTTACTGAACAGCTTTATGAAAGTCAGGAACATCAAAGCAGTACAGATGACCTCATTTGGGGTCAGGAGCCACACTGTCTTGTGGTTAGACTTTTGTCCTGCAAAAGGAGTTCATCTTTTAGGCATGGACTGCTGTGAGAACTTGTGTCTATTTGTTCTCACAGAATAATTTGGGGATCATAAATCTGGCAGGACAACCACCACAAACTGCTTCAGAACAGGGCTTTAGTTTCGTTATCCTGGTGGTCTTTCCAGTTGACAATGAATTCTGCTAAAATTTAGATGCTGCATCATAGAATTCAATCATGACCTCATCTTAAAATATTGTTTAGCCAAAATGTTAGAGTTTCTCTGACAGAGTGGCATCCTGAACCTGTCCTAATATTATATCATCCTAGTAATCCACTGCTACTTGGGTTTTTTCCTCAAGTTTATTTCTCTACCATTTTACTGATCCTTCATGTTTATAAGTAAAAATAACTACAGTCGGGTGCAGTGGCTCCCACCCGTGATCCTAGCACTTTGGGTGGCCGAGGCAGGCAGATCACTTGAGGTCAGGACTTCGAGACCAGCCTGGCCAACATGGTGAAACCTCATCTCTACTAAAAATACAAAGATTAATCGGGCATGGTGGCAGGTGCCTGTACAATCCCAGCTACTCAGGAGGCTGAGGAAGGAGAATCGCTTGAACTTGAGAGGCGGAGGTTGCAGTGAGCTGAGATCGTGCCATTGCACTCCAGCCTGGGGGACAAGAGTAAGACTTTGTCTCAAAAAACAAAACAAGAAAACAAAAACTATAGATGGTAAAGAAATTTCTGAACTCAGACGCGACACAGCAGTATCAAACATTCCTTGAATCAATGGAATGAATTCTCATGCTTTTTTGAGTAATATGAATGTGTGTCCCTTTTATATGTTCAGGAATACTGAGGGATGAATTTTTCTTTATTAGATTATGGTGTATTTCTTCTCATTTTAGTGACAGGATTACTGAAGAAACTTGTTTTCTGTCAAACGTTTTGGCCACCAATACTACAAATGTATCTGAATCTTTTGGTTCTAGAATAGTCAAAATTTACAGTCCCTGAAGCATCAAGGAATAAACTCTCCTTATGTTGAAGCAAAAACAATAGCAACAGTAGAGTTTTCCTTCTTAGTGCTCAGAGATGGAGATATGAGTAATAGGCCTAAAAGATGAATAAACATCCAAAGGGAGAAAGAAAAAAAAGCAATTTTTGTGTTGGTCTGTGCTGAAACTTCAGTTTGTCACACCTTGGTTGAGGAGAAAAAAATACATGAGCATCAAATATTAACTCCTGTCAAGCGTGATAAAAGTCAGCTACTTTTGCCTTCTCTAACAGGTGAAAGATTTTCTTGTGATAGCCACAGCTTCGAATCATGGGTCAAGAGACTATTTAAATATACAATTCCATTTGCAGTGGCTTTTGCAATAGCTTGTTGGAAATTAAAAATATTAATCTCGCAGACAGTAAGTTTGTCTTGACCCACATCTATTGTTTCAGTTAAATGCATTATGGATATTATACATTAATTACTATAGTGTTAGGTTAGCTGACAATCATCCTTTTAAAAATATACTTTGAGGAACTGAAATAGGCAAGAATGAGACAAACGAAAATGACCTAAGAAAATAACCAATTACTTTTGAATCAGAACATGAACCAGAGCATTTTGTTTCATGTAAATAATCAGACTCCACAAGGTATTCAAAGAGGAGGTAAAACACTATTGCCTCAAATGTCTATGATAAAAGGATAAGAACGTTTTCAACTCCTAGATCTTATCTTACTGTAGGATCCCAGAAGAGGAGAGTAAAAAAGCTGAAACAGGAGAAAGATATGATTTTAGCCACCTCATTTTTATACAACCGAGACCGTGTTAAAAAAAAAAAAAGAGGTTCCTTGTGAGTGTGAGCGTTGTGTGTACATGTGTGTGTAGTGTGTTCATATGTGAGTGTGTGAGCATGGTATGTGTGGTGTGTGCATCTGTGAGTGGGTGGGGATATGTGTAGGGAAAAGGCCCTGCTAAAGAGCAGAACTACACTGCTTGGCACAAACGAGCAATTCACCCATTTCAATGAAGCCAATATTTAGAACCAAATGTGACATGTTCAAATGCATGCCTAATGTTATTCCATAGGCTACTGGGCATTGCAAGTAGACAGGGAAAATATCTGCATTATGGACAAAACATGTCATCAGTTACTTCTGTTTACATCAGTTCCGAGCATCTACATTTTAACATTAGAGTTGATGCTATTTAGCATTACGATGTGTGGTTTGACTTATTCACACATACAAGATCCTAGATTCCATTCCCCATCAGGTCATCTTTCCCTCACTATCATCATTCTCCACTCTAAGACACTTAGGTTCCCCTTCATCAACTAGTCTTTCCAAAAAAAAAAAAAAAGAAAAAGAAAAAGAAAAAGAAAAAGCTTTTATTTGCGTGATCAAAGCTTCAGGCTCTTCAAGGCGGTGAATGATTTCTCCCCAGTGCAGATTAGAACATAACCCAGAACCCCTGACCCCCAGGACCAGTTATAACATCACCCAGTGTTGCAACATAATCATCTGGCAGGAATGGGAGGGTGGGAAGATCAAGCCGAGAGGTGGAGGACACCAAGCACAGGAGCTCCACATCTGTTATCTGCACACTTGGGGCTGATGGATGAGGGATGAGTGAGCTCGCCAAGAGGCATTTATTCTACCTGTGGTCTGCCACATGGAGAAGAGGGAAAGGAGAATCTCTGCAGGGTGCCAGGTGATCAAAGCTGTATGTTTCAGGACAACAGCCCTGGAGTTGTTCTGGGAGAAGCCATAGAAATCAAGAACAATTGGTGACTCACCGAAAATTGAAGAGATCTCCAAGAGAAGTCACAGGTTCTTCTACCAGGGAGAAGAGCTTAGAGCAATTCATTCTGACACCCCTTTCCGGGAATTCAGCATGACTAGAGCTATGAGAAGTATCTGCCAGTGTCCTTTCTGTGGCAATAAAGCTGCTAACCAGAACTGATCTTCTCCACTTGACACAACGTACCTGTAAAGCTTGAAAGGGAAGGGTTTTCCATTCCATCCTTAGAGACAGAATGCCTGAAGCACAAACACATTCCGTGTTCAAAACACTCACCTAGCACTGGGTGAGCTATGAAGATTGATAGAACTGACAATATTCTTAAGGGGCACATAGTTAAGTTTGATTAATGTATCATATCAAAAATCCTCATAGAAACAGATCATTTTAAGTCTAAAGTGGGGATTTCTAAAAATGAAAATATATTGGGGACTTTTTAAAGGTGTTTAGCCACAAATAACAGCTAATGCCATTGTGCTTTGCTCAGCTGTCAAATTGCTCTGGGGATGACACGCATAGTTACTTCTCCAGACCTCAGTGTTCTTTCAGTAAAAGAATGGCATGTCACCAACATGTTACTAATCCTAAGTGCCACATAGCTCTAAGAGTCATCGATTATTTGTTCCTGAATGAGAAAAAGGGGGCCAAGGATAGTATATTGGGATCTTTCTGCTTTGATTAAAGCTTATGAGAGAAGATAATGGTGTGGAAGGCACTAAGAGACGGAGGAAGAGAAACAGGAAGTTTGGTATTCCCCAAACCATAAACCAATAGGGCTTTACGTGTGCCAGGTACTTTAGAAGTTTTACATACATGAAGTCATAGCAAACCAGAAGATGCTATGCATCAGTTTGAGTAGTGGACAAAGGTACAGTTTCCCCTTATCAGTGGGAGACAGTTTTCAAGACCCCCACTGGATATCTGGAACTGCAGACAGTACTGAGCCCTATATATATACCATATTTTATCCCATGCATACATACCTATGATCAAGTTGAATTTATAAGTTAGGCACAGTAAGAGATTAACAATAATAAAATAGAATACCTAAGACAATATACTGTGGCTATAACTTTTTCAGTTTGATGTGACAGCAAAACTTGCATAATTTTTTCCTTCATGATTTCAAAGATAAAGTTTTTCTTAATATAGATCTTGGCAAAGTCAGCTTATGAGGGTTTCTCTCTCCTTAAGTCAAGAACTTTCACCTTTTTAGTTAAAGCAAGCACCTTACAGCCTCTCTTTGGCACATCTAAATCGCCAGCTTCACTAACTCCATCTCTTTGGAGCCATTAAGAAAAACTGAGTTACTTGAACACAAGCACTGAGTCCGCCACAGTCGATTTGATAACCTAGACAGCTACTGAATGACTCAGGGGGTAGCATAGACAGTGTGAATCAACTACACAGAGGGATGATATTTCCACCACACTACTCAAAATGGTGGGCAATTTAAAATTTGAGATTTTTCATTTAATATTTTCTACACATGGTAGATAGCAACCTGGCGGATTGCAGGTTAACTAAAACTATGGAAATGAAAGTGTTAAAGAGAGGAATACCATGTCAGAATTCTTTACCTCAAAGGTTCAACCCTAGGGCTAGAGACTGAAAGGATCTTAAAGCATGAAACTTTTAAAGAGCATCTAAGTGATCACTGCTTTGAAAATAGTGGATCACAAGAACCAGGAGAAGACAGGAGTCAGTTCAGTTAAACAGTGCAATAGTAGAGAGGGAAACCGGTCTGATTCCGAAACTCGAGACTGAAGGAGAGAGGACATGATCAGAGACAATGTAAATAATGTCAAAAGGCTCGCAAATGGGAATTAGCAGGCACTAGGGGTGGAAGAGAGAGGGGAGAGTCCAGTCTAACTACAGCTGAAGAGCCCGTGGAGAGCTGAGGTGTGTGGGGTGGAGTGCGGCTGGAAAGTGAAGGCAGGGAGACCAGAACTCAGCGTCGAGAAATAAGGTGCAAATGGGAGTTGTTTCAGTCAGAAAGTTACATGCTGAAATAAGGTACTTATGAAAGATCCACCTGGCAGTTTTAGTCTTGAAAGCAAGATTAATATTAATTGCTACTCATAAGTGTTCATAGCCACAGTGGGCTTTGGCCAGGAACTCCTTTTCTTCTTCTACCTACACAAGCTACTCCTGTACTCCGTCTGCTTTTATGAATGAACGCATTTGGACCTTGCTTCCTACATTAATCAGATTTTATCCCCTTCTCTCCACAGCAACGTAGTATCCAATGATGTGAATTTCTCTTTTCCCTTACCTTATCTCCAGTTCTAATTACATACTGCCTTAGTTACCACCCCCCTTTATCTGCCTATTTATTTAAATGGTAACTGTTTTCATTCATGGAAAAGTAGTCTACTTTCCCTCCCATCCCAACTGACAATTTGGAAATTTTCAGTGTGGAAAATTAGGCATAAGATAGAAGTTTTCTTGGCTTTAAAAAAAAAAAAAAAATCAGCACTATAATGGCATGTAGGTGAACATTTACTGAACACTTACTATGCCAGAAGTTAGTTCAGTTTGAAGAATACAGGTTTTAATGCTACATGCCAACTTACCTAAACTACATTGTCAAGGATATCACCAATGGACAAGAAAGAAAGAAGTACATCTGGTTTCCTGGAGCATTGAGAGTAAAAGGTCTAAATTCCAAGCTGCCAGCAGGAGGGCTGTGATGTGGATGTGCAGGGGAATGCTTCTGGGCAGCAGTGTCAGTTCGTGTGGTGGCAAATAGAAATCAAAGGATCTGGCATATGGCCCATCCAGTCCACCCTGCTAACGCTGTGGAAGAGGAAATGGAGAGTAAGGGAATGGAGGATTACACAGGAGCAGCAGAGGCGAGGTGAGGCGAGGCGAGCCCATCTAGTCCACCCTACTAATACTGTGGAAGAGGAAATGGAGAGTAAGGGCATGGAGGATTACACAGGAACAGCAGTGGTGAGGTGAGGTGAGCTGAAGCAAGGGGCAGACACCTGCAACTATAAACACAATGCACTCATTATTATACCCCTACAGCCTGAGCTTCCAACATGTCCACATCTCCCCCTGGGCTCCAGTTACTCAGCTCAACAGGCTTTTATATGCCATGCTAAGATGGCTTCTAGGAGACCTCTAATAGTTTTATTAAAAAAAAAGATCTTAAGGCACACGTGGATGCCTTATGGGTTCAATAAAAGAGGAAGGAGGTTAAAATGAAAAAAAAAAATCATGATTTCCCTCCAAGCATGAAGTCTTCAGCCACACCTAAATGCATATGAACGGAGCAATTAATCATTTAACTTAAAATGTAAATTAAAATTTTAACAAAATATTCAGAGGGCAATCTATGCTTATCCAATAGTATGCACCCCTGCTACCAATTAATTCTGAAACTTTCTCATTGTGAATACCAAGCACATTCTTCTAACTGTCGGCTCTTACATGCCATTTTCCTTCAGTAAATCTATTCATGTTCTTCTAAACTATTACATTTCCCTTAGCTTCCCACGTTTCATGCTAAATGCCCTTTTCCAGTTGTCTGCTTGCCAGATAGTGAATATATGTTATTTATGCTTAATCTTGAGAAGACCACTGCCTCAGTTATTAGCAGATAAGCTCACAGTAGTAACGTGGCCTTCTAATAGTTACAGAGTAATACCTGAAGAAAACATCCCAGTATCTGGGTGATGTTCTGTTTTTCATGAAGATCTAAGGATCCTACCTCAGAGAAGCTGGGTCCAAGTCTTTCTAAAGCAGTAGTGGAATGTCAGACTTCTTATTAAATACATTGTGTAGGGGTGAGGCTAGGTCAAAAAGTCTTTTCACTAATAGAGTCCCACATCCCCCAGGAAGAATTCCTGGGTTAGCAATTAATCCAAGTTGACTGGGTTTACCATGAACTTTAGAAGCAGCCTGTCCTTTCTTGCAGAGGGTGCATTGTTTTCCCAAGTGAAGGACTGGAATCGTTTCTTGGTATTTCATCATGAAAATGTCTTACTGAATCTTGGCATCTCTCCAGAGAGATTTTAAAGGCAGTGATGTGGGGATAAGAGCCTCGCTCTAAATTGAAAATTAGATTTTAAATTTCTTTAGAAATAGAGGCTATGACAAACTAAAAAAGCTCTTTCTCAAAAGTCACTGGCCTCTTGTTTGGGGAGAAATCTTTAAAGTTATAAATAAGTGTGAACCAAAAAGCATTGGAGCCAAGTCTCAATCAATGTAGATGTTTCTGGTGCCAAGGTTGAGGATGCACCTGGGAAAAAGGAACACAATATGACAGGAGCATCTGAGATTTGTGCTTCTTCCAAAGACGGTTGGGAGACTTCAATATTTAAAAGGGAAACAGTGGGCATTAGAGGAAAAAAAAGAAAAAGGAAGTGTGAATAAATGAAGTAGTTTCCTTCTTTGCAGGCTTTAATCAGTGTTGACTGAATTCGCACTTTAGATGTGACAGGAGAGGGTTTAGAGGAACACTCAACTGGGCGTTCATCTCCTGCTCAGTGAATCTGGATTGTATATAAGATAAGGTACACAGTAGAGGAAGCAGTCAAATATGCATTTGTTTCAGGGGAGTGGAGGGATGACTCCCAGGCCTGTCTTTGTCCACTGCCTGTCAAGATAAGCCATTCATTTACATTGTCAGCATGACAATTCAAGAGAATGGTTTTCGGGTAAAGATCTTTGGGCCAGCAAGGAATTTCCTTGCTAGCAGATTGTGAGGGAGGTCCCTTGGGGAGGTATGTAGCCTTCTACCTGTGTAGCTGTCCATTCCGGAACAGTATGGAATCTGTAGCCATACAGTCGGGAACAGATATGGAATATAGTTTTGCATGACAGAGTTCCCAAGCTTGACTTTTCCCTTTGGCTTAGTGAGTTTGGGTCCCAAGAGATTTTCCTTCTACTTTCTCCTATCTTCTATTTTCACAAAAGTGGCATTTGTCACTTAGGTTAAGTGTTTTTCAGAATTATTTGTCTTACGTGTACTACAGAAGAATATTGACCTCAGTAGGAATAAAGGAGACATAAGAAAAATGATGGAAATAACGCAATTGGTAGAGAAAAAAGTGAGGGTAATACAAGTTATGCATTTTCTAAAGTTTTCACCAGAGCACATTAAGATATTTAAACATTAGGAAAATTGAACTTCCTAACATTTATTTCTCTAATGGGGAAAAGAAGGTGGTCTTATTACTAAAGTTCTGCTTCCCAAACAACATCATTGAATGCTTTTCATGCATTAAGTCAGCTAATGGGCAACATTACTTATGATTGCTAGTCATCACAAATCCATTGGACACATACCTTATACCCTCTGTTGCAGATAAGCAGAAAACCCATACCCTTTTTCAGCCTTTAGAATGTTATTCAATAATTCCTGAATATTTTATATGTCATCCATAAATAAAGTTCTCCAACTAACTATTGGATTGATTGGATACACTCTTCCCTCTGGTGTGATGTGTCTTTCTCCAGAGCCACAAATGGGTTACAACCAATATTGATCCTCTCAACCCTGGATTGGTCTTCAGTGCCCGATTTGGCTACAGCCACAGGGGAGTTGATTTTGCTGTCAACAGCCACATCAGTTTTCCTCAAGGTGCCATATCACTAATTTTTATAGTTATGTCATGAAAGCGTTTGAGAAGTGCTGCTGTATCAGTTTGGAAAATTGTTAATACAAGCCCAACTTAAGGAAAAAACAGACCTGTGAACAGTGTATTGATTGGTATTAGTTTCTAACTCATGTTCATGTGTCACAATACTTTGTCTAGTGTTGAACTTAGTTATCTTATATAATTTAGACTTTTTACAAGAGGTATTTTGTGGTGTCTCAATCTTCCATGTTTCTTATTCACTTTTTCTCTTTTCCTTCCCTTTAACTCTCTTCAGGAAGTAATCCTTTTTATATCATCAGTAGGTATAGACTTGGTTGCTACAAGCCAAGACTGACTCCCACAGTTTGGAGTTTAGATTGTTTTAATTTCAGATAATTCTGCCTGCCCACTCTCACTCCATTCCAAAGTGCCACTTGACATTTTTGGGTGAATCTGTATTTGGCAAAACCTTGCTAGCTCCTATAAGACTTAATTTTTAAGTGTTCTATATTTCTAAAGATATTGGCCCTCTGCTCATGTCTCTGAAAAACAGACTATTAATCCATTTTCACACTGCTATAAAACACCCCAAACTGGGTAATTTATGAAGAGGTTAAGTGGGCTCAGTTCCACATGGCTGGGGAGGCCTCACAGCCAATGGTGGAAGGTGAAGGAGAAGCAAAGGCATGTCTTACATGGCAGCAGGCAAGACTCATGTGCAGGGGAACCACCCTTTGTAAAACCATCAGATCTCGTGAGACTTATTCATCATGAGAACAGCATGGGAAAAACCCACCCCCAGGATTCAATTAACTCCCACCAGGCCCCTCCCACTACACATGGGGATTATAGGAGCTACAATTCAAGATGATATTTGGGTGGGGAAACAGCCAAACCATTATCAGAGACACATTCTAATAAGTTCTTAACTGGAGGTTCTGGCAAGAAAAATATGCTGAGATTGCCAAGATCTACAGTAAGAATGAATCTTCTTTGAAATTGTGTAGGAGGAAAAACACATTTGTGGTAATTTTGCTGTCACACCTCAAACTGCAAAACCTACAGCCACAGTGTGTGATAAGTGCTTAGGTAAGAAAGAAAACGTATTACATTTATGGTAGAAGATGAGCAAATATGTTGTGACTGACAGCAGTCAGGTTCTATAGTTCTATACTATGGTTTCAGGCTTCCCCCAAAAGACTTAGAACACAGCCTGAGGATAAGATGGTGACTGCTATATTTGAAATATAATATTTGAGTTGATTCTTTATAATGGTCAATGGACAGACTGTCTAAAGGGGAAAAGTCGAGAGAAGTCAGGGAAGTAGTTGAAGATGACCGTTTTTGCCATGACTGAGCAGAGCCAGAAACAGGCTAGTCCATGATTTTTAGTGGAATACACACCTTGTTAAGAGCTCATGGGTGACTACTAAACCTCAGCTTTATGCCTACCCCAGCCCAAACTGTTCATTGTTCAGAGCCTTCATACCTTTCAAAAAAATGAAATCCTTAAAAATCCCAGGCAGCTTTCCAAATCCCATAAATGCCCCACAGTTGCTGGCATGTGGGTCACTTGTTTCCAGGCAGAGAATATTTAAACTCAAGGGCAATGATAAAGTCTTGTATCCTTCATTTCAAGTCTCTAGCAGCATATGCAATTTGTTTAGAAAGTGGTTACCTTTCCTGAGGACACACACCTCCCAACAACCTTCTGTAGGGCCCCCGTGACATCCTTGTTCCTAAGGCTGTAAATGAGTGGATTGAGCATGGGAGTGAGGATGGTGTAGAAGGCAGATACAGCTTTGTCCTGCTCAGGGGTGTGGTAAGAATGAGGCAGCACGTATGTGTACATGGCAGCCCCATAGAAGAGGCTGACAACCACCATGTGTGAGGAGCAGGTGGCCACAGCCTTTCGCCTCCCCTCTGCCTCGCTCATCCTATAAACAGTAATGAGAATTCTTGTGTAAGAGCCCGAGATCACAGAGAAAGGGATGAGGAGCATCATAATACAGCAGACATACATGGCTGTCTCGTAGGCTGATGTGTCCGTGCAGGAGAGCTTCAGAAGGGCAGGCACCTCGCAGAAGAAGTGGTTGATCTCCCGAGAGGCACAGAAGGGGAACTGCATGGTGACGGGGGTGAGCAAGAAACCATCGATAGACCCTCCCAGCCAGGCTGCCGCCACAATCAACCAGCAGATCTTGCGGCTCATGAGGTCAGGATAGTGCAGAGGGTTGCAGATGGCTACGTAGCGATCACAGGACATGAGTCCTAGGAGGAAGAACTCAGCCCCTGCTAAGGTCAAGTAGAGGAAGTGTTGGGCAGTGCATCCAGCAAAGGAAATGGCTCTCTGGCTCATCACCTGGTCGACCAGCATTTTGGGCACAATGGTGGAAATATACAGGATGTCCCTGAGGGAGAGCTGGCTGAGCAGGAAGTACATGGGGGTGTGGAGGCGGGAGTCTATGTGGATGAGAATGATCTTGACCACGTTGCTGGCTATGGAGGTCACAAAGACCAGGAGAATGAGGGCAAAGAAGCCAGGGGAAACGGGCGTTGCTGAACAAACCCAGAAGGATAAAGTCGGCATACACGGAATAATTGCTCTGCTCCATAGCTCTGTAGGGTACACGAAAGAGATATGATAAAGTTGGAAAGGTATCTGATTTACATAAAACATTATGATGTAGTCATGAAACCAAGGTCAAAATCTTATTTCTTGAAGCTCATAATTTCCCTGAGAGAACTGCCTGAGCAGGATTGTGCTACATCTCATTATACCATCATTGTTCATTTAAGGATTTTCTTGATTTGGTGATTACTATTTAGAGTTCATGATCAAACAATCTTTTTGTTCATGACCATTTATTTCTGTCTTTCGAGTACCACCTTACATTGGTGAGGATGCATATAAGACATAAGAATGGAACCAGCCTGATTCAATAGGATAGGGTGGTGGGGAGGAAAGGAGGATTGTCCACATCCTACACTGCTCTCCTTATACTAGACTCTAGTTCTCACACTTAGAATCCAGTTTGAAGATCACCACGAGTATATATTTGCCTATGGAAGAATAACTGCATTATTTGACCTAATTTACACCATTCTTGACACACTTGTACATTGTAAAATTTGAGTGCTCAACTTACATGTATCAGGTGGAGTATTGCAGAATGAGCCTGTGTTGAATAAAAAGAGCTGAGTTCTGAGAAGTCATCCAAGAATTCATAGGAGGAAAAATCATGGGAGAAAACGTTGAGGGTCAAGTGGTGTTTGCTTTCCTTCTTGCAGCAGCAAACTACCGATTATTAACATACAACTCGTTAAAATGTTAGAATCCCATTTAACTTATGAAAAAATAAACTAGTTTAAGTATTAGAGCTAGTGTATCCCAAAAGAAGGGATCTCTCAAACTTGAAGTTAGATTCTGCATATGTATCCATATCAGTTAAATATTTTACCACAATTTAGGACCACTTATGAGTTATTTGGATAGCTTCTCCCTGCATCATATAGATCTGCACTATCCAGGGTGGTAGCCATGAGGCTTATGAAGCTGTGGAGCCCCTGAAACACGACTGCTCCAAATCAAGATGTGCCATCAGCACAAAGTTAACAATTCAAACACCTGTTAAAAATATATGCAACACGTCTTCTTAAAACTTTATATTATGGTAACTTTTAGATATATTTGGATAATATAGATTAAAATTAGTTTCACCTATTCTTTACATTTTTAATGTGGTTACTAGAAAATTTAGAATTCTCTGTGGCTCCCCTAGGATTTCTACTAGGCAGCACTGGTTAGAGTTATTCCTGGGAATATGACAGCTCCAATTACCTTCATCCAAACAAGTCCTCCAGAATTAAACACCACAAATTAGAATTGAGCCAAAAAATTTAGGTGTGTACCAAATTAGAAAAATGGCTTTACTTGTATATGCATTCACCTGCAAATAGCAGTAAGAACATTAATAACTGATTCGTAAATTTTACATTTCCAAACAACTGTGTAAGATACTAGACCATTCTACAGTTGAAAATGAGGCTTAAGGAAACTTCCCCAAGGAGGAACATTGTTCTTTAAACAGTGACAGTATAATTTGTTCTATGCTGTTTTCCAACAGGACAAAGTAGACATCAATTCATTCCGTAAATATTTCCCGAGAGGCACATTGGGTAAGCCAAAGTTTGATATTCTGAAAGACCCTGAAAGAATGTAAGACATCATCTGTCTTCGAGCCTAGAATTGAGGCACATGAACGTGTGTTGTGTGACCACAGGTGCACTTTCAGAATGGTTTTAAGACCTCAGCAGTTTTGACTTACTTGGTATGTGAACAAAGGACAATAAAAATGATGGAAGCTGCAGCCCACTGGCTGGTAGACAGGAACTTCACACCAGGGCCCCTCAGTACATTCCACCACAACCATGCCACAGTGGATGGATGGAAAACGATGAAAATTCAGATTTTTACTGATGAAACCCACATTATATCCTTATGCATTTTTCAGTTCTCATTCTTGAAATATTACCAGCTTTATGCCAGGGCTTTCCATCAGCTGATTTATAATGTATCTTTATTATTTTAAAAACTGTTAAGCCAGTGGGAAAATTAAAGGCAAACATTTAGTAGCAATTCGTATGATGGAGAGTGCTGAATGCTCACCCAGACCTGGTTGTCCATAATTTAATAAGAACAAGATCCTTGGAGGGCCGTGCTTGTTATTTCACAGTAAATTCAGAGAATGGTGGCTACCTACTGGGGACCAGCCACAGTGACTGCTATTGGTCCACTGGGAATATTAAAGCCCAAGACGAAAAAATTGGTCCAAAAATATCCTTATCAGGGCAGCTGTGTCCTGAACCCTGACCATGAATACTCCTGGCCCTGAAACTTGCTAATGAGACTCTGGGGATCTCCCCAGCTTACTTCACAAAGGGAAAGGGGAGATATGAGTGGCTCCATAACCACTCAGATTTTACAACCATCTTCCAACTCTGGTAGTGTTGATTCATTCACTGTATTTTAAGAGTTACCCAGTATAGCAACATTTAAGAATACTTGGAAAATAAAGGAATCAACTGGATTATACCATGCCCCATGTAATAATTGTCTATGCATAATTCCAAACCTTAGTAAACGTCCAGTTCTATGTATACTTAATATTTAGCACATCTTTCCCAGTCTTTATAGAGACTATTGCTGTGATTGAATATGAGACACTCAGCTTGGTTCACATTCACGTTGTTGAGTTTGCTTATATGCAGTATTATGAGGTGAATTCTCTGGCATAATTCATGGACAATGGTTTACTATGCTTTAGAAGCTTATCACCAAGTTGTTAAATGCTTAACAGTAAGAGAACACACTTGCGGCAGCATCATGCTTGCCCCAGCATTTAGCACTAGTATCGAAACTCACAATATGGATTTGATTATGAAAAAAATTGAACATAGTGTATATTTTGGCTATTTTGATTTTTCATGACCTTTTCTATATAGGTGATTTGTCAAGATTATTAATAAAAAATAAAAATCTATAGACTATTCTTTTGTTCAATTTAGTGCAGCTATTTTGCCCCCCGAGTTACATACATGTAATTGTAACTTTGATGTTTAGGCCAAAAAGTTTTGAAATATTTCAGACATTTTCATTCTGTGTGCTGGATTTTTGAAAAAAAATATTTTCCATCGAGGTATGTGATTAATATACAATTTAAAATTTTTAATGTAATTTTCTATGCACTTAAAATCTTTGGTCTAGACATTAAAACTATGCAACCATTGGTTTATGAGATCAACCATGATAAATTTGTACTTTAAGATCATGCCAGTGAATTCTATCTAATTGGAGTTCTTCAAATAAGCAGGAGTTCAAGTGTGAATGATGAGCAGGAATGACCTAAGTAACAAGGAGAACTGTTGGAAATGTGGGAACACTGTCATGGGTAAAATTAGTTTTCACCCTTGTTGCATGTACAAATTCTGGTATAAAAAGCGAGTACTAAAAATGAGTGCCAGGTTAACCTTAAGACTGTGATAGCGACAGTTAGCTTTGGGAATCTCACCCTTTGCTGTCCATTATGTTTTTCTCTTCAATAGCAGGTCCAGCAGCAGGTAGCCAAGTTTTCTACTTTTTCATTTTTGTTGTCGTTCTGTCAGACCCTGCTCTGCATCAAAGATTGGCACAATTCTTGGTGACCATCTAACTCAGAATACGTTTGAGTGCTAAAAGGCTAAGCTAGACAGGACATGAGGACAACAGGCATAAGAAAGGGAATATCTTGAGAAAACAGGGCTAAATGGTGACCCTGACTATAAGACATTTAATTCTCTGTACAATCAGATTCATTATGTTTCCTCCCCAGCAGTATTTTCACATGAAGTGTCACTTCTAGAAAATGGCTTTTCTTCCACAACTAAAGTAAAATCACTTGGGGAATCTTTAGAACGATAGAGAAGTTTTGATTAAGGCCGAGGGATTGTCTTGAAGCAGACCAAGGGCATGATCACCTTCAGTCTCTACAGAAGTTGAACTGAGTTCTTCCCCTGTCTATTCCTAACCCTTGAAACATTCTTGGCATGTTTAATGTTCACAATGCTACATGACATGGTTTTTAATCAAAGCTGGCTTTATATTCTATCTTCATCACTGATAAGCTTCTGGACGTCTGGCAAGCCACTCACATTCTTTTCAGCTTCTGGGAACTTCTAAGTATTAAGTATGCTGCAATGGTTTCTCGGAGCAGGATATGGAGGGTCTTCCTAACTAAACCATTTTTAGAGATGCTTATGAGGTACCTAACAAGGTGGAATACTACGATTTAGATAAGCTCTTTATAAAGATTTTAAAATTATAGGTGAATATATGTTGCAATGATAAAAACTGTTGGAATCATTATGCAGACAGATCTGCATAGAATTCAAGTAATCTGCTACATTCTGATGTACAGAAAAGATAAGAGTCCATAACTACTAAGAAACGAGATTGAATTATCTAAGATTTGTATATTAGTACTATCCACAAGTATCTGCAGTTCAAAATCAGATGTATCAAACTTCAACATTCTCCAGTATTTCTCTGGTTTGAACCAAAACTTTCTAGTAAGTCCAGAATCTATTTAAAGCATCCTGCGATTGATCAGCATCAAGACTGCAAACTTACCTTACACAGTATCTTCCCCAAACACGATGATCTGAATATTTAGAGAGAAACCTTACAGAACTAAGGTAGTACATGCAATTGTTCAGCATTTCCTTTTATGTAGTAAGTATGGGGAACTAAGAGGCATACATCAGACTTTCTAAACTGGAGGTATTCTATGTTCTGTATTTCAAACTTGTTTTCTGAACTGAAACAGGGGAGTACAGGCAGGGAGAGTATGAATTCAAACAAGAAGGTACAGTGGATTAGGCGTGGGAATTACATCTTGTTGGCAGAAGGATAAGGGTCAGTCCCTAACTTATTGAGACTTTTTAAAATACAGTGATAGGTGAATCCTTTGAAGATCGAGAAATAGAACAGCCTGAATCTGTAAATGCCTAATGTCAGTTGACAGCAGCTGCATTATGCAGGCTGTTAAGATAGAGATCCAGTGACAAATAGAGCTTGCATCATGGTGATGGCTAGTACTCCCATTCAGGAGATACATTGACATCACTGTCTCTGGGGTCCTTGTCCCTAGCCTGCAATTACAGTTCATATAAAATGTGACAGACTCCTTAAGAAAAATGTAACCTCTCAATTTACAAAGTAAACACCCAAGATAAGTCAGGTTGCTGGCAGCTGCAACTTAAATTGCTTTTTTCTCTTTTACTTTGTTCACGACATTGTTTTGAAAGTTTCTCTTTTTACACTTCCAACTTTCAGGCATCTCTCTTGAAATAGAAATCAATGTTTCTAAGGAAGTATTGTCTTGCAAAAGATACATTTTGGGCCATTCCCCATCACTCAAGTATTAGTATGTAATCATCCTGTCTTTCTTGTAACTTGTAATACATAAAACTTTCAGCATTGCAAGCATTTAAAAATATTCATTTTACTAATCTCAGTGTATATAAGATCTTTGAGTTACTTCAAGAAGACAGACCTTTTCTCATCCAGTATTCTCAAAAGGGCCCACAACGATTCCTGGGGGGAGCGGGAAGGGTGGGGGGGAATTTTAGACCCTGCAGTCTTGTTGTGCTGCAATCTATGCCTGCATGATCTTGGCTTTCATGTAATTCATATTTACCTCACTGGTGTTTAAGTTAGTGGGGGTTGGAATTCAGGTTTTCTGAGGCTGAAGCTTATGCAATCTGGGGCATCTTAAGAAAACAGGCTACAAATCATGATTGCACAGGTATAATATTCTCTTCAGTGAAACTCCAACAAAATTACACCTTTAGAAAGCTGACAAAATACCACGAAGAAATACATAAACACCTCAACTTAAATCTTAACTGGTTGAACTTACCACTTTTACCATTTTTTCCAACAACTGGCTACATTACTATGTACTCTAATATTTTCTATAAGCAAGAAGAGATGATTCAATCCTAGTATGGTTGGTTGAAATTTTTTAAGTTTTTTGGTAGTTTAGAAAATTCTTTGGGTCTTTCCCCTTTGTTTAGGATTGAGGTCCAATCTGAGAAAGCCACTGTTAAATTACTTTCATATATGACCTGCCTTAGCTTCCCCAAAAGCTGACCTTAGAAAATATTTGAAACTGAGAAAAATGATTCAGAGCAGTCTGAAGAATGTGAGCTTTACAAAACGTCTTAGGCTCAGAGACGCGAGCATGAGAATTCAATAACTTCCCTACCCAGCCCTGCTCACACATGCGCACCTGGGGTTGTTTAAAGGAATTTTATACTTCCCCCCGCTCCCCCGAAGTTTCCAGACTAGCTGATAAGTTACCTAAAATGTTACAAGTTGTACAATATGACCTTTACCAACCATCTTCATGTTCCCTACAGAGAATAGTGTATAGCTTATCAATAGCTACAAAAGAACAATGTCTAGTTGATCAATAGTTTATGTCAGCTTAGAACTTCCCTTTTCCCTTAGAGGCCCCATTATAACTGCTGTTAGTTGGAGCATTTATTTAAGGCTACTAGAATCTGTCTCCTCAGATTGCATTTCCCAATCTTGGTCCAAATATGCGTGTTAACTTTGCCTCAGTTTTTTCCTTTAGGTTGATACAACCATCACCACCATCCATCTCCAGGACTTTTTCCTCATCCCAAACAAATCTTCTGTACCCATTAAACATTAACTGTATTTTCTCCTTTTCCTCATCTCTGGGGTAAGGTGTATTCTGTTTCTGTGGATTTTCCTCTTCTAGGTACTGTAGCAAACCTGTACAATTGCTACTTGAGACGGTCACTACCGCAGTTACTGTTACTGCTTGAGATGCTCATTACAGGACTGAGCGAAGGGAGGTAGAAGTGGGGGAAAAACACTGTTCGAAGGCTAAGCTCGGGGAAGAAGAGCTCCCAGCTTCTAGTGAGCAAGGGCAGCCGCCCCAGCTTCTCAGCACTCCGCATGGATCGAGTAGGAGCAGGGAGGAGGACGCACGATTGATCAGCTGCGTGACTGATCGCAGGTGCACATGGTTGCGATCGGACTTTCCCACGCACCTAATGACACACTCGTGCCTGCGCGTGACGCCCTCCGCTCCACCTCCGCGCGGAAACGCAGTCTCTCAGTTTGCCAACATTCTGCATTTGTGAGAAGCAGTTTTGCTGCTTACTCGTCCGGCCTCCAGTGGTAAACCGAGCCGATCGCGACCCTCGCCCTTTCGGCCTCCAACCCTTTTTTAAATTATGTCTGTCCCTGTATTATGGGGGTTGAGGTCAGCGGGACTGCGGTCGGCCCTCGGTCCCGAGGGCACCCACACGGTTCATCTCCTGTAAAGACACAGGCATGTCCTGTCCCCACGTTAGTAACTCTACAAAAGCAAAAAGCTTTCTGGGGCTGCAGCCGGGAGCCAGGCCATTGCCGAGGCCTCCGCTCCACAAGCTGCGGCGCAGCTTCTGCCTCTTGGCCTAATTGCTGCGGGGTAAAACTTTCCGTTGATAGTGAAAGCAGCTTTTTCTGATGAACAGAAGGCACAGAGAAAACAAGTTGAGGCTTATCCTTCTCGTGCAACAGTGTAGCAAAAAAGCAATCCTTAAACCTTCCATTTGCACTTACACAGGCGGGTCTGTTAGATGCTGTGGGTTGTGATAGCTTTCTCCCAGCTGTACTTGCAGATGCCTGACCTCCTCGCTTCTTACGTAGAGAAGGGTACAATTTACAGGGGATGAGCAACAGCTGCGCAATATATTCTCCTGCTTCAAAACCCAGAGATCTTGGGACATGACCGCTACCTGAATTTCTCCATAAGCCGAAGAACTCCTGGGACTTCAGTAATGCCCCGCAAGTTAAGATGACTTCTGCCTAAAATTAATCCCACCTATCCTGTTGGCAAAGGTCCCAAACGCCAGTGTGAGTCAGGTTGCTTTCCCCCCCAAGGCCGGTTGCTTTCCCCGCCAAGGCCGGTTGCTTTCCCCCTCCAAGGCCGGTTGCTTTCCCCTAAACCCGTTCATTTGGGAGATCTAATCCTGGGCTTCCTGGTGCTTGAGGAGGGGGAGTCAAAGCACCTCCAGAAACCCCCCTGAAACGGAGTTGCGGCCTGGACTGGGGAAGCCCCCTTGTTCGAGGTGCCCAGGTCCAGGCCCGCTTCTGGTTTCCCCACAGGGAGTGCCGTTCTGGTCAAATATAGAGTAGCATTGATTAGCCTAGTGATTTCCCTTATTTCAACGAGGGCAAAGTCCTGGCACTTTTTCTGTTGAGAAGAGAACTGTTTTAAAGACCCCTTCTGCCCAGAGGTCTGACGGCATTCTCTTTTGCAACGTCCGATTCTCTACACTTACAGCTTTTCCACTCTAGGGCTCAACCCTTGGCTCCTTTTAGATCCGTCAACTACCAAAATTATCCGTTGCCTGAATCAACATTATAAAGTAGTGAAGCTCAGTTCCCACATCTTGAAAAACTAAGAAAACCTCCTGAACTTTCTGCACACCTCACAGGTGCCACTGCACGTTCCCAATCCACATTTGTAGCCTCATAAGCCATAGTCAAAGTGAGCATTTCTGTAGCCACAAAAGATGCTGCCAGCCAGTTTTCATTCTCCCTCGTTTACCACTTTTGATAGGTGCTCTAAGTGGGGCAAAATAGTCTCTCCGGCCCTGAAATAACAGAAAAGGTATGTACCAAACTCCAAATGAAAGAAAAAAATAACCAAATTCTTCCCCATGCTACCCTGATTCAAAAACTTCCCGTTCTTCAAACCTCTGGGGCACTGACAAGTACCTTTTTAGAGCACTAGCCTTATGTTGCTGCTGGCAGACTTGTAATGGGGCTTCTCGTTTGTCTGGCTAGTTTTAGTTTCTGTTCCAGCAGACCTTCCTCGTTCAAGTCTCTATAGGACCCTGTCTGTCCCTGCAAGTTTCTGCTGGTCTCTGCTAGTCTTTATCTATCCCTATCTGTCCCCATGGTCCCTGTTAGTTCCTGCAAGTTCCTGTCTTTCCCTACCTATACTCTTTCTCTCTATCCCTGCTAATCTATTTATCCCTCCAGGCCTCTTCAGGTCTATACTTGTCCCTAGATGCCCCTGTTCAGGCACCACTTGTGACAGACTTGTACAATTACTACTTGAGACCATCATTACAGGACTGAATGAAGAAATGAACGTAGAAATAGTAACAAAAGACAGAAGAAAATGGTTTTAAGGAAAGGCTCGCTTAGGGGAAGAAGAGAGATCCCAGCTGCTAGTCAGTAAAGGCAGCCGCCCGAGCTTCTCAGCCCTCCGTATTTATTGGGTAGAAAGAGCAGGGAGGAGGATGTCACAATTGGTCAGCTACTTGATTGATTACAGGTTCACATCATTGCTATCAGACTTTCAGACGTACCTAATAACAAGAAACACTTGTGCCTGGGGCGTGACCGCCCTCAGCATAACCTCTGTGTGGCAAACGCAGTTTGTCAGTTTGCCAACATTCTGCATTTATGAGAAGCAGTTTTGCTGCTTACTCACCCAGCCTCCAGTGGGGTACTCAGTTGATCACGACCCTCACTCTTTCGGCCTCCAACAGGGTACCTCAAATGAGTAGAATCATACAATATTTGCCTTTATACTTACTTCACTTCATTTTCAGGGTTCATCCATGTGGCAGAAAATATCAGAGTTTCATTCCTTTTGAAGGCAGAATAGTATCACATTGTTTGTATATATCACATTTTGCTCATTTATTTGTCTATTGATGGACACAACCTTTTGGCTATCGTAAATAATGGAGCTATGAACTCTGTTGTACAATTTTCTGAGTTCGTGATTTTAATTCTTTTGAATTTCAAAAATAATTTTGAAATTCTTTTGAATGGTATCTTCTATAAGTTGAGACATACACATTTGTTGTGTAAGTCACTGAGATTTTGGGGTGTTGTAGGTAAGTCCTATGAAGGACTCAGTGTGAGCAGACTGGTGCACTGTTCTCCCTTTTCATGGATGCATAGGAATATGGTTGGGGCTAGAATGACAAAACACTGGCTATTTACCTTGAAATACTTTAACATAATAATAAAGGGAGTTTAAAAAGGAACTGATTGTTTGAGATACTGAAGAAATAGAAATAGATTCAGAGATTAATGAAGATAGATACTTAGAGCCAGAACTACAGTTAGAGATATAGATTCAATGTTCTCTCTCTCCCAAGATAGACAGATAGCTAGATAGATAGCCGGAGGATATGAATACAATCTGGCAAGCTGATTCTTAAAATGATGATCAAAGAGCCAAGAATAGCAGCCAAGATAATGTTAAATAAGAACAATGCAGATAAATTGTCATACCAGAAATTCAGATTTACTTTCAAAGTTAAACTGTTAAACAGTATACAACTCACACATCACAAGACAAATAAACCAAAAAAAAAAAAAAAAAGAATAAAGAGTTCAGAAATAGGTCCATGTATCTACAGAAATTTTATGAAACCTTATTTCATCTGACAAATGTTTGTCGAATTTATACTATGTACAGCCATCTGTTGAACTATTAAGACCCTTGGGATATATTTGTTTGCAAAATAGGTGCCTGTCCTCATGAAGCTGCCCATGTAGCCCAGAGGCAGTGAACAATAACAAACAGAAGAAAGAAGTTAACTATATAGTCTGTCAATGTCAAATGGTATAGAGAAAGGGAAAAAGTAGATTAAGAGAGAGAAAGAATTGCTGAAGCTGTGGTAATGTTTGTTGCTTTTTACAATGTCATCGATAGTACAGATCTCTTTGGAAGGATAACATTCATGCAGTCTTGAGGACATAAAGAATTTAGCCCTGAAGAGAGTGTTGGGGTGGGAGGGATCCCAAGTGGAGAAAAAAAAACAAAACAAAACTGGTAGGACAGGCCTGAGGTGAGAGTGTACATGGCTTATTCAAAGAATGACAAGAAGGCCAGGATGGCTAGAGCAGTGAGGGAAACAGTGGCACAAGCAG
This sequence comes from Homo sapiens, assembly GCF_000001405.40. Taxonomy (NCBI): domain Eukaryota; kingdom Metazoa; phylum Chordata; class Mammalia; order Primates; family Hominidae; genus Homo; species Homo sapiens. Next base: position 80,692 of record NT_187646.1, on the reverse strand, counting down.
ACATCTAAGAGGCAATGGGGCAGAGGAGCATGTAAAAGGGCCCTGTAGAGCTTCCTGTAAGAATTTTAGATTTTACTCCCAATAAACGGTGAGCTGCAGTGGGGTTTTAATCACCAAAGTGGCATGATCTGACGTTTCTTCAACTGCTGCTTTAGAAATAACCCTTAGAGGATTTAGGTAAAGCAGGAACATATTGTAGAAATGGTTGGAACCTAGGTGTCTTCTGAAGGTAGAGCCAACAGGATTCCTTTACTAGTTGGATGTCAGTTTCAAGGGAAAGAGAAGCACCAGGGGCAACTCTAAGGGCTTGGATTGAGCAACTGAAATTATGGACCTCCTACCAGTGGGCCTAAGGAAAGACGCAGTTGCAGGAAGTTTAGGGTGGGAAGACAGAGGCACAGATCAGTTTGGTGAATGCCAAGTTTGCTTTGAACTGCAGTCATTAATACATAGATATTATTATATAGATACATGTTTATAGCTAAGAACCCCAATGAGCTTAACAGAGAAAAGGTACAGGAAAAAAAAGAAGAGGACCCATAACTGAGCTAGGAGCCCTCCAGTATTAAGAAGTGGGCCTGGAGAAATGACACAAGGAGAAAAAAAATTAAAAGGAAAAACAAAACAATGAGTTAGGAAAAGCCATCAGTATGGTGTACTTGAAGACAGATGAAAATGCAACAAAACAAAACAAAACACACATCTTCAATCGAGGGAATAGACAGTTATATCAAAACAAGGAAAAAAACAGACAAACAAAAACTGTGCTGATGGCCCTGAAAGATTTGATTTATCCACATAAAGATCATTGAAATGAGAGGTAAATATCCTGAATAGAGAGGACAGTGGAGGAATTAGGGAGACCAAGAGCAGGCAAAGCTTTTGTGGAATGTGACTATAAAGGAGACAGAGATGTCACTGCAGATCTGGGAAAAATAAATTTATCAAGTTGTATTGGGAAAATTGTTTGTTCATATGGGGAATGGAAAATTTGCCTAAAGTCACATACCACAGATATGTTTTAGGCGGGTTAAAAACTAAAAGGTGAAGAAACAAACAAAAAAAAAAACTATGAGCTTTTAGAAGATAAGATAGGATAATATTTTCTTGACTTCAGCTTGTGAACAGATTAGTTAAGACACAAAAAGAACTAATATAAAGTAAAATGTTGGTAATTCAATTTACAAATAAATAAAATTTAAACACTTGGATAGGTCACAAACTAGCAGATGTGTAACAAAACTGAAAACAAAATATCCAGCACATGTATAAAAAAATTCTTATGTGTCTATAACAAAAGGCCAAAATTTGATAGCAAATGGGAAAAATACTTGAATAGGTACTTTACAAAAGAGAAACTCTAAATGGCTGATAAATCAAAGAAAAGTTACTCAACCTCATTATAAGTCAGAAAAATATATACCCATCAATTCTACCCATAGGTATATGCACTATGTTTTTTGCATTTATATATGAAAACATAAGGACATAAATGTCAATAGCAAAAACATTCATAATAGCCCCAAGCTGAAAATAACATACATACCAAATAACTATAGAATAAATATATCAATTAAGATATTCAATGACATTGCATATGCTAAGGAAAATGAGCAAACTATACAAGATAATGAGCTGAATATCACAAAAATTATATTTAGCAAAAAAGTCAAAATAATATATTCAAAGTAACTTCATTTTTAAAGTTCAAAATTAGGCAAGAGTAAACTCTGTTGTTTACAGATAGATACCGTATTAGTCCGTCCTCATGCTGCCATAAAGACATACCTGGGACTGGGTAATTTATGGAGAAAAGAGGTTTAATTGACTCACAGTTGCTTAGGCTTTACAGAAAGCATGGCTGGGGAGGCCCCGGGAAACACACAATCATGGGGGAAGGTGGAGGGGAAGCAGGTACAATCTTTACAAGGCTGAGCAGGAGAGAGAGAGTGAAAGGGGAAGTGCTTCACACTTTCAAGCAACTAGATCTCAGGAGAACTCACTCAGAATCATGAGTACAGCAAGGGGGAAATCCACCCCAGGATCCAATCACCTCCTACCAGCTACCTCCCTGAACACTGGGAATTACAATTCAACATGAGATTTAGGTGGGGACACAGAGCCAAACCATATTGATACATAAGATGTAAAACTATGAAAATAATAAAGGAAACTAGTCACCTATCAGCTAAACAGACAGTACCTGATTCATTCAGGCCAAAATGTGAAAGTATTACTAACCACAGGTTCTTGGGCTCCTGTGCAATAGAAATGGACATGAGACCAAGCAAGTTTTCCAGACAAGGCTTTATTAAGGGCTTGTGCTCGAACACAAGGGAGACAGCACTGGAATGACAGTTCTCTGGCTGGTTCCCCATGGCTAGGCCTTTGCTGTGTTTTAAGATGAGTGACATGGATAATCATGAGGTATGGGAGGCTCTTTATACATGTGGAGTGGAGCACAGGATATGCAGGCACAGTGAGAAATTATGTGAACACATACATTGCATGATCAAAAAATGGTGGGTAAGCCCTTCCCTGGGTGGAGATTTTAGTATTATAATGAAGCAAGGGGTAAAGATCAGTCATTCTTCTGGTCTTATGCACATGTGAGTGATAAGGTTAACTCCCTTGAATAAGATTTATGGTGGAATGCTGCTTATCTTAGTTTCTTCAAGTTATCCATGCAGTGGGTATCGTGCCAGTGGAGGTGGTGGTGCAAGGTCTGGAAGTTGGCAGGTACGGGAAAAAAAATGTGATAGTAGGAGTGGGGGCCAAGCCCTGTCCTTACTGTGTTTCAGAAGTAGGTTATGTGTATTGATACAGTTCAGACACACATTGTATCCCTGATATAATGAACTGATACAGTTCAGACACACCTCATATCCCTGATATAATGAACTGATACAGTTCACAGACACACATTGTATCCCTGATATAATGAACTGATACAGTTCAGACACAACTCATATCCCTGATATAATAAACGGATACAGTTCACAGACACACATTGAATCCCTGATATAATGAACTGATACAGTTCAGAGACACATTCTATCCCTGATATAATGAATGCATACAGTTCAGACACACCTCATATCCGTGATATAATGAACGGATACAGTTCCGACACACATTCTATCCCTGATATAATGAACTGATACAGTTCAGAGACACATTCTATCCCTGTTATAATGAATGCATACAGTTCAGACACACATTCTATCCCTGATATAATGAATGCATACAGTTCAGACACACATTCTGTCCCTGATATAATGAACGGATACAGTTCAGACACACATTCTATCCCTCTTAGTGATGCTAAGCCTAAGAATCTAGGAGTATAGAAACTTTAGCAAAATCCCGTATAAATGGACTGCATGGACCACATGAGCTGTGTTGTGACTTCCCTGTGAATGAGATGGGTCACACCATAAGATGATAGTATCAAAACTTTGCAAAGTTTATAATTAGTGGTACAGGGGGCGGGGGTGGGGGGGAAGTAAGACATTTTTTCCTTGCTCATCAAAAGGTTCGTGGTTGGTAACTTCTAACAAAAGACAGATTAGCAACAGAAAAGTATAGCAAATTTACTTAGTAGAAGTTTCATGAGGCATGCGAGCCTTAAAAGTATGATTAGAACATTTAAAAATATGATATAATGGAAATAAACTTAGGAGGAGGACTTAGCGAGGTTTGTTCAGATTCTTAGTGGCCTCCCCATGTGACATTTTTTTCCCTCTGGGCATTGGTCAGGGCCCCTCTGGAATAAAGGGCTTATTACCTTCTCTCAGAACAGGTAGGTCTGAGAATTCTTTTGTGGACAGCTCTCAGGGGAGAAGGGCAGAAAAAATCAGAAAGTGACTTTTCTACCTCTTCGGTTTTCTCAGTTTTCTTCAGCTTATTTAGTATGTCAAGTTTGCATTTGATGAAAAAGCTGAACACTGTAAAATATTTAAAGAGGTTTATTCTGAGCCAATATGAGTGACGATGGCCGGGGAAAAGCCTCAGAAGATCCTGAGAAAGTGTGCCCAGGGTAACTTCTGTCTCCCTAAAACTTAGGGAAAGAACTTGCAGGCAAAGTCATAAATCAATACATGTAAAATATACATTGTTTCAGCCTGAAAAAGCAGGACATGAAGTGGAAGGCTTATGAGTCATAGGTGGATGCAAAGATTTTTCTGATTGGCAATTGGTTGAAAGAGTTAAACTAAAGACTTGAAGTCAGTAGAAAAAAATGTTTGAGTTAAGGTAAGGGAGTTTGTGGAAGCTAAGATTCTTGTTACATATATGAAGCCTCCATGTAGCTGGCTTCAGAAAGAATAGATGGTAAATGTCTCTTTTTGGACCTTAAAAGGTGTGAGCCTCACAGTCTATCTTTCCTGGATCTGGAAAAGGCCTAGCTGCACTAATGGCAGATGCAAAATTTCCCCCACAAAAGATAGCTTTGCAGGGCCATTTCGAAATCTGTCATATAAATATATTTTGTGGTAAAATATTTTTATTTCTTTCAGTGTCTACTATCTGTCATGTGATGCTATATGGGAGTCAGGTTGGAATTTGGTATCTTATTGTTTTGTCAGTCCTGTGATCTCTATTTTAATGTTAATTCCACAATGGAGGGAGTGCAACAAGGTGTGCCCAATCCCCCTTCCCTCATGGCCTGAAATTTACTTTTTCAGATTGCTCTCAGCTCCACTGGCCAAGAAGGGGAATCCATTCAGTTGATTGGGGGGCTTAGGGTTTTACTTTTAGATTTCATCAAGAAGCCATATTTGGAAGGATCTTGTTCTGAGCCCTGACAGAGGAGTTTAAAATTTTTCACATCTGTCTATTAATTCATCATAGACTAAACTAGTTTACGCAGTTAAATAAAATAATGAACTATTTCAAAACAAAATTTGACTCTAGTAGACAGTGTCTGCACAATCATAGCAATCCAGTTGTGAAAAATGTTATAAAAGAACCAAGAAATAACCATGTGACTACAAAACAATGAGGGATTAGGCATCAGAAGACTGAAAATAAGCAACATACTTGAGTGTACTCTATTTTCCATCTCTCTGATTTTATTGTATTTACTCTTGCATTCCATGAGACAGTGTTTCTGCCTCTATCCAAAATTAGACCTCCTACTTGGGCTCTGTGTTGCAACCTCAGAAAATAGTAATAATAATAATAATAAAATAAATCCCAAGCCCTGTAGTTGACTGAATGGGAACTCTCTTGCCCAGGGAGATCTCAAAGAAATCTGAAAAACTAGTTCAGGCCATGACAGGAAGGGAGGTCAGACATGACTCCTTGTACTCCGTTTGTTTGGAGTTTAGGTACAACTGACCAGCATTAACATTAACACAGTGATTATAAGACGGACAAAACAGACTGTGGCAACAATAGCAAATTCCAACCTGACTCTGATATAGAATCACATGACAGATAACAGGCCCTGAAGGAAATAAAAGTATTTTACCGCAGAATGTATTTCTTTGACATGTTTTGGAATGGCCCTGCAAAGCCAACTCTTCTGGGGGAAATCTGAATTCTGTATAGAATCTGCTTCCCTTTCTATGTCTCATAAGGATCCAGAAAACATTTAACTAAGAGTCTGACACCTTTTACCATCTATCCTCTCTGAAGCCTGCTACTGAGAAGCTTTCATAGGTGGATTAAAAAGTTTTTTGACTGGCAATTTGTTGAAAGAGTTAAGCTAAATACTTGTGGTCTCTAGCATTTCCATTGAGTGCTAAATGACTGACCAGCATTAACATTAAAACAGAGATCATGAGACTGACAAAACAGATTATAGGTGGTAATAAGATACTAAATTTCAACCTGACTCTCATATAGCACCACATGACAGATAGCAAACCATGAAGTAAATAAAAATACTTTACCCTGAAATATATTTATTCGACAAATTTTGAAATGGCCCTGCAAAGCTATCTTTTGTGGGGGAAATTTTGCATCTGTAGAGAAACTTTATTAATGCCGCTAAGCCTTTTCCAGATCCAGGAGAGAGTAACTAAGAACCTGACACCTTTTAAGGTGAAAGAGAGACATTTGCCAACTATTGTTTCTAAAGCCTGATACATGGAAGCTTCCTCTACATGACAAGAACGTTGGCTTCCGCAACCCCATTATCTTAACTCAAGCGTTTCTTTCTATAACAAAAACCTTGGCTTCCACAACTATGTAATCTTATGCATTCCTTTCTACTGACGTTTTAAGTCTTTAGACAAAGCTTAACTCAACCAATTGCCAATCAGAAAATTGGTGAATCTATTTCTGACCTGGGAGCCTTGACTTTAACATGTCTAAATTTTCTGGAACCAATATATACCCTTCATGTATTGATTTATCTCTTTGATTATAACTTTGTCTCCCTAAAATGTATCAAACCAAGCTATAACCCAACCACAATGGGCACATATTCTCAGGAACATCTGGGGTTGTGTCCTGGGCCATGGTCACTCATGGCTCAGAATAAACCTCTTCAAATATTTTAGAGTTTCACTTTTCTTCATCAACATTATTTGGTGCCCAATGCAGGACCTCAGAGAAGACTAAGGACTCTCCTCCCCAAAAGAAGTTGTGTGAACTTGGAAATAAGGTACCAATATGGGCTTGTTACCAGTGGAGGGTCTTGACTACAAGTTGTCCAGGTCCTGCTTCCAGACCTTGGTGTTTTCTCTTTTAGGAAGTTAGCATAAATTGGCCTTAAGTTCCCTGTCTCCAGGTCTCCAGATCATATTCTCCTGCTGCAGGCTCATTGAAAGCCTCCTGACTTTGAGCTTCTCCATAGGTGGAACTGGTAAGTAAGTCTTCCTGAGCCACAGAACCCTTACGTGGTTAATAGTACTTTGGTTTATTCTGAGCTGGTCTTTTCCTGGGAACTTGTTGTTTCAGATTCTAATTTTGGATTCACAGGTTCATTCTAGAGTCTTCTCATTGCTTTTTTCTCCAAAAATTAGTCTCAATTGGTTCATCTGTGCATTTGCTTGAAAAACCTGACTTTGTGTAAATGAATGAGAGACAGCTTCTGAGCCCCACTGCACTGAAACCCACACTACAGTCTGGCTCCTCCATTAAAAAAAAGAAAACCTGGGAAGCAAATCCTCTAAGATTGAGAAAAGACAAGGAGATGACCTCCTTTGGGGCACCCCTGGGGGTTTTATGGCACTCGCAATTGTTTGTGTAAATGTGAAGTTTTGAGAGCATGCTTGGTTTTCTAGTACTCTGGCTGGTTATGTATTATAGTCTGTTCTGGCACATTTGTAAACTGATGGGTAAATTCAGAGCTCAAAGTTGACCTGCAACTATAGAATTAAATATGGCATCTGCTTAGTTCTTGATTTCTCTCTTTTCTTTTTCTGTTTTAAATGTATTGTTGCTTTTCTACTGGTATTGAGATAAAACCCATTGTTTAAATTAAACCATCTTTTGCAAGCTGGTGAATCTGTATTGCTGTCTTGTGACTAGAATTCTGAAATAAAATCTATGGGATCTTTGTATCCGTGTATCTATGTTGAGTTGTGTTTATGTTACATGTACATGTATTTTCTTATATGTTGTAACTGCAAGGTATCAAATGGGCTTAAAAATAAAGGATTACTCATAAACTAATAAAGTCCAAATGCTCTTCAAGTTCACATGACAAGTAAATCTTCAATAAGTAATCTGGTTTTATAATTATTAGTAAAATAAAATTTGAAATGCCTTCAGAATTGTCAGCGTACATTTTTGTCTGGATTTATTGGTAAAATAGTTTTGTATTTAGCTGTGTTGATATTATAAAGTACCAAACTTTGTCATGAAGGTTATAAAACTATAAAACCCATCCCTTAATGATCTTTGCATAATTTTTTATAAATAAGACATTTAATATTGTTGATTTATTGAAAATAGGTAAAACCTTAGCTGGCAAAAAAAAAAATCAAATAAACATATATTTAACATTTAGGTTCTTATGTAGGTAAACACCTGAAATAAACACAGCCTATAAGAATGGTTAGCTGAAAATAACTAATGATGACTAGCTTTGTCTAATATGTCAGTTTTTATAAGTAACCTAGGAAAACTATTTTAAAAAATAAGTTAGTTAACTTTAATGGGATAAGTGCTTATAAATGAACTTGTCATATAATTTAAAATCTTAAAGTTAAATTAAATAATACTCATTTAGTGTCTGGATCACTTCTAATTTAAAAAACAGAAAAACATATTTCTAAAATAATATAAAACGGTTCTCATCTATAAAATACTGATATATGACAGACAATTCAAGATTTACTACTTCCTAGGTTTTCACAAAAAATTAAGGTTACTAAGAATAAAAATTCTTGTTAATATATAATTCTGTATTCAAAGAGTGCCAAAGTAAGTTTTTTTATGAAAAAGAAATTATAATAAAGACATAAAAATATGTTCTTATTAAAAGGAAAATAATCTTTGTCAAATTCAAAGGCTATTATACAAATCCAAAGATGTATTTATTTTAAAAATTGGGTAAAAAGAATAATTTTGTATGAGAAAGAGTCTTGTATAGTAAATTTAGTCCTAAAAAAAAAAAAAACTCGTTATTTAAGAAAGAGGGAAATTTTGGACAAAACAGAAAGTCCAAGTATGTCATAAATAGTCTGTGTAAGATATGATAAAGTTTATAAAGAGAATTTATGAAAGAAATGTTTTGGAGGCTAAAGCTACTCTTTCTTAGATGGGAGGCTCAAGTAACTCCATCTTGAATGGTGATCTGCCCTGTTGGCTTCTGATTAACTCCAGGTGGGAAGACCTTTAAGATTTCCAGTTTATTTATTGCTCCTTGTGTAAGAACAGGTACTTATTATAAATCCTGCCCTTAGGACAAACAACTTTTACATTATCATACTTCAGTTGTCCCACATATGCCTTCTGAATCATTCCTTCTCTATGGCATATAAGCCCTGGGTTCTGGGGTTAATGGCACAGGAATTTACCATCTTATCTCACTGCTGCCTGAGACACAGACATGGCTTCTGTTCATAAGTCCCTATTAATTGTTTCTGCCTAAGAAACTGTATTTATCAGCCTCTTTCTTCAGCATCTCAGCTTCCTCCAACTTTGGATAGGTTTGTATAGACCTGCTCACTGCAAAACAATTTTGTATGTGATTAAGCTGGTGATAATTTAAAAAGAATTATTCGTATTAGTGTTTTTAGAGATTGGGATTTAATATTAAAAATACACAAATAGAAAAACCACCTATTGGGTACTATGCTTATTACTTGGGTGATGAAATAATCTGTACACCAATCCCTTGTTACATGCAATTTACCTATATGACACCTACCCAAGTACCCCCCTGAACCTAAAATAAAAGTTCATAAAATACATGAATATAAAACTGACGAATTGGTTAGAACAAATATATTTTCTTAAAGTATTGATTTACTTTTGATGAAATTACAAAAAGCTTTACATTTTTAATTCTATAATCTCTTTTTGAAATTTCTCTGAGGCCAGGCATGGTGGCTCACGCCTGTAATCCCAGTGTTTTGGAAGGCCGAGGTGGGTGGATCATGAGGTCAGGAGATTGAGACCATCCTGGCTAGCACGGCGAAACCCTGTCTCTACTAAAAATACAAAAAATTAGCTGGGTGTGGTGGCGGGTACTTGTAGTCCCAGCTACTTGGGAGGCTGGGGCAGGAGAATGGCGTGAACCCAGGAGGTGGAGGTTGGAGTGAGCTGAGATTGCGCCACTGCACTGCAGCCTGGGTGACAGACCGAGACTCCATCTCAAAAAAAAAAAAAAAAAAAAGAAAGAAATCTCTCAGATTGATATTTCAGAAGCTTAACTCCTGATATACCCCACTGTTTTCAGCTTTTCTCCCTTTGAGAAGGCCTGGAATGGTAACTCCCTCTTTTAACTTTTGTTGTCTCCTATAACTATTTTTTTCTTCAATTCTAACTGTGTTATAGCCTGATACTAAAATGTTTTCTTTTGAAGATTTAAAAAAGTGATGTCTTCCTCTGTTGTAACTTAATTTGTTACTCTTGACTTTTCTTAAAATGTGTAGGGGCCAGGGTCCCTTTGAAGGTTCACTGAAAAATCAACTCAAAAAAGACAGATTCATTGAGAAGCAGATATGCAGTTTTTTGGGCATGTATACATGGGTGTGCTCAGAACAAAGATCCAATAAATGGGGGAAATTGTGCATTTTTATGCTTAGGTTCAAAAAATTAGGGACATCCATCTAAAAATATGATGGAAAAGGGTATAATTCAATGTTAGTGGACTGTGTGGGGAAACCCCAGCAAGACCTGCCTGTGTAGATTCTTCTTAACCTCCTTGAACATTCATTTTCTTCCTTCTCTGTGTGGGGGTCTTGCACTCTACAGTTCAAAAGGAAGATCAGATAATATCCTTATGTTCTTTCACAGAAAGGCAGAGAAAATATTGGAGTAATATTTTTAGGTTTTATGGCTGGCTTTGAGAAAAAGGAGTTTCAGTTTTGAGGACTCATCTTGGGAAAGCGAGATTCTAGTTGCTATGACCCGCCTTGAGGGAGCATGGGACTTGCAAACAGGAAGCCAGAAGAAGGCCAAAGAAAAACTTTTACTTCTGCAGCTGCCTCTAAATCCTTCATTTTGGGATATTGTTTTCTGAGCTCTAACATAGGTTTAAAAGTGCTCAGTATACCCAGGCAACATCCCATGCTGTTGCTAAGAGTCACATATTCCCCTGCTCAAGGTCTCTATAACAGTGTTCACTCATGACATGGAACACACTCTTCCTGTGTCTGATTAATTCACATTATCTTTTCATGAGGCTTGACTTTCAGGTTATCCAAATGGGCTTCCAATGACTCAAAACAATCACTCTGCATAAGGTTTTTCTTTACTTTTTGACAGCTAGCCTAGGAAATACAGATTTTAAGATAATTACTGTGTTGTTATAAAACCCTTAACCATTTTAAAACCTAAAAGTATAGGTTTAAAACCAGGTAGGGTTTTATATTCATGTAACTTTCTATATTGCTTTTGAAGTCTTTTGATTACCATTCTGGTTAAATGAATAACTATTATTTTACAATGACTTTTGATTCATTTTAATCAAATGTTTTGAGCCTTTCAATATCTTTTGACAAACATCCTCAAAAATCAAATTCTAAGTTAAGTCTCTGACTTAGACTTATTGCCGGGGGTTCATCAAAACTATACAAATTAATTACCCAGTGCTATACCATCTTTTTACAGTTTTCAATTAAGTCATAAACTCCACTATCACCACCTCCAGCCTGATGATTAGATCTCACCTAAAAAACTCCCTCCAGCCTCATTGAAAAGGGTCTTTATCAAATATTGTTACTAACCTTTTTGCTCTTAAGTTTCAGGTATTTGACTTCTGGGTACACATATCTCATTTAAAAAGGAGCACTGACTCCTACTGAATCTTAAATGTCAATGCTGACATTGAAGCGAGAAATTTTCCCTGAGTCCTTTGTGGGCAGGAACTGGAGTGCACGGTGCCAGCAGGTGCAAACTCTGTTCACTCAAACCTGCTGTGATCAACCCATCACGGGAGGAAGCATGCAGCTGAGCAGGTGCAGGAGCTGGGGCTAGCACTTTTGGGTGCCGGCAGGAACGAACTTCATTCTGGCCCCATGGCAGCGTCTAGGGGAGTGCCTGTGACCCCCAAAGCCCCAGAAGGAGTGTTACAGTCAGTGCCCTTTTAGCTTTGACATCCACAGATGGCTTAAGTGTTAACAGCTTAGTGGAGGGTAAATGTGACAGCCTTTTGCACCTGCACCCAAGTTCTTGTCTGACATCCAAGAGGAATGAGGTTGCAGGAACAAATTGGAGATGGTAAATGCGGGGATTTCATTGCTGATGAAAGTGGGTCTCAGTGGGAAGGGGAGCAGAAAAGGGAATGGATTGGGAAGGTAAGCTTCCCCTAAAGCTCTGAAGCTATACCATCAAGCTGTCTCTCTGAAATGAAGCCAATTTGCTCCAACATCCAGGCATAGTCACTGATGTCCTGCTGCTTCTCTTCTTTGCCAGCTGAGCCTGGGATTTTATGGGCACAGGATGATGGTGGGGACAGGCCATTGGTAGTTTTAGAAAAGGCAACATTAGAGTGGGAAACAGGAATGTATGTTCTCACTCTGGGCCACAGTTCCAGGTTTGAGGGTGGGGCCCTCACCCACCCTCTTCGGCCCAGAATTTTTCTGCTTCCTGTCGCTATCAGTATCTGACATCAAATGTAAGTTAACCAAAGCCTCATCTTCAGAGCTGGGAGAAGATGAGAGTGAAAAAAACTGCTTTTGTATGACACTAAACCAGGCTTGTATACAAAGGCATGAATACTCATTTAATAATTTTTTCTCTATCTAAATTAATATAATTTGTTCTATGCCTTAATGTTAGATAATAAATGCTAGCTACCTGTGAGTTTCCGTCTTCTGTCAGAGCAAGGCAGGAATTAAGCTCTTTTTCTTTAAAATGTTGCTGATTCCTTACATTTTGTTTTCCAGAGTAAAAAAAGAAATGCCTTTTCCTTTTGAGCTATATGTAGCTTACAAAATTGGTAAAACACAGATAGATTACCTTTGTCTCTCTACCTAATATCTGCCAAATGTAAAACCTGCTTAGACTCTCACTGGGCCTGATCTGTCTTCATTGCTAACACCTTGCTACTAAGGCTACATAGGCACCTTCCCTCTAGACCCAGGGGCTACTGTGGAAGAGGTGGGCAGGTGAGCTTGTAAGGGATTAATTTCAGAGACAGAATTATTTCAGAGCCTCCAAATCAAGGACAGACATCCAGATGCCTAAACAGCTGGCAAGGTAGGGGCCTTTTCCTCCTGGGCTATTACATGGCTGCTTTCCATCCATCCCAACTATAAAGAATTTTATGCTTGTCCCAGGATTAAAAGAAAATTACCAAGAGCATAACAAGAAACCTCGTCACAAAGCCTCCTGGATATACTGCTCCTAGCTGTGAGATTTATGCAGATATATGTAACTTTTTAAATCAGCCACCTCAGGACAAATGATGAAAAAGACCACGAAAAAGCACTGCAGCACAAAACAAGCCTCTGTGTTCTTTAGCTTAAATGGTTTCAACAAAATGCTTTTGTTATTTACAGCTAATTGCTAGAAGTCTGTAACAAAAATCAAGATTATTGTATTGCTCAATGCACAGAATGTATTGATAAGTCAATTTTGTAACCTTATCTTTTGGTTTTGGGCTCTTATATTGCTTAAAGATCTTAACGGCTGATAAATGCCTGCCCATCTCCATTCTCATCCAGCCCTACAACATTTAAATTTGCTATAAGTCTTTTGGCTCTAAGCCCCTTGGCCATACGGATCCCACCAAAGAACATGATGCACCTGGGGCAGATAGCCATAGCCACACACTCTGGCAACAATAGAGGACAAATAAAACTTTGGCCATCAATGTTGCCTCTGGAAAATCTTGACCTGAGGGAGAATAATGTAAACCAAAAATAAAAGTCTAAGCCCCCACCCCAACTGACACTCTCCTGGTTAAGGAGATCGCAAAGAAACCAAACAACTAGAAGAGAGTTCAGACATGACTCTTTCTACCCCCTCTCTTTGGAGTTTAGGCACAACTGAGCAACAGTAATGTTAAAATAGAGGTCCTGAGGCTGACAAAACAGACTCTCTGCAGCAACAAGATACCAAATTCTAACCTCACTCTGGCATAGTATCATATGACAGATAGCAGGTCCTGAAGAAAATCAAGATCTTTTACCCCAAAATATATTTTTGACACATTTTAGAATGGTCCTGCAAAGCCATTTCCTGTGGGGGAAATTTGCATTCTCTAGAGAATCTCCTTCCGTTTCTGGGTCTTTTATGGACCCAGAAGATACTTAACTAAGAGTCTTACACATTTTACAATCTATTCCCTCTGCAGCCTGCTACTTAGAGGCTTCGTCTATATAACAAGAACTGTGGTTTTGAAAACCATCTTACCCTAACTGAAGCATTTCTTTCTACTGATTTCTTAAGTCTTTAGACAAGGATTGACTCTTTCAACGAACTGCTGATAATAAAATCTTTGAATCCACCTATGACCTATAAGTTGTCACTTCAAGAAGTCCCGCCTTTCCGTGCCAAACCAACATACATCTTACATGCATTGATTTATGTCTTTGCCTCTAATTTCTGTCTTCTCCTTAAAATGTATATTGCCTGTAATTTCTGTCATCTTAAAATGTATAAAACCAAGCTGTCACCTGACCAATTTTGGTAAGATTATTCTTGGGATTTCTTGAGGCTGTGTTACAGGCCATGATCACTCATATCTGGCTCAAAATAAACCTCTTCAAATATTTTAGAGAGTTTGGCTTTTGTCAACAGCATATATATATACACACACACACACACACATATATATACATATATAAAAATATATATAACATACATATATATTATATGTAATATACATAATAAATATAAAAATACATACACATATATGTATATGTACATATACATATATAAAAAATATTCCCTTAACCCCATGTCACTATCCATGTATAACTTTATATTTGTTCCATTATTCAGAGCAAACTTTTGTGATTTTCTTCAATTTTTGAGCCTCCTTTCTCCTTAGTCTACTTCACAAGATATTCTGTCCAATCACTCCATCGAAGCCCCTCTGTGAAGGATAGGAACGACTGTTATCTTGCACTCTCAGGCAATCAACTTTCTGTTTCACATTACTTAAACTTTACCCAAAAACTCACATGTAGACCCCTCCCTTCTATTAAAAAGACTGTCTTTTCTAAGTTTCTACCACACCACACTCCTCTGGGTGCTCCACATCTTTTTTATCCCTTTCTTGTCACTTTTTTTGTGGTCTAGTATTTAAATATTGAAATTCTCTTGTCCTATTCTTTAATTCTGTTAACACATAATCTGCGTATCAATAATTCTGAAACCTGTCTTCACATCTACCACCTAAAATGATATCTAGACTAAAATATCTAGCTGCTTGACATTTTTATTTAGATATTCAATAGACATTTCAAACTTAACATACTCATAATAAAGCTCTTAATCTTATACACACACCCCACATTCCCCTGCAGATGACCGTGCTCATAAGAAAGAATATTGATGCATAAAATCATTGGATTGAGGTAAAACAGAGCTTTTTGGGGTTTTTTTCTGTGTTTTCTTTATTTTTATTATTATACTTTAAGTTTTAGGGTACATGTGCACAATGTGCAGGTTAGTTACATATGTATACATGTGCCATGTTGGTGTGCTGCACCCAGTAACTCTTCATTTAACATTAGGTATATCTCCAAATGCTATCCCTCTCCCCCCGACCCCACAACAGGCCCTGGTGTGTGATGTTCCCCTTCCTGTGTCCATGTGTTCTCATTGTTCAATTCCCACCTATGAGTGAGAACATGCGGCGTTTGGCTTTTTGTCCTTGAAATAGTTTGCTGAGAATGATGGTTTCCAGCTTCATCCATGTCCCTACAAAGGACATGAACTCATCATTTTTTATGGCTGCATAGTATTCCATGGTGTATATGTGCCACATTTTCTTAATCCAGTCTATCATTGTTGGACATTTGGGTTGGTTCCAAGTCTTTGCTATTGTGAATAGTGCCCCAATAAACATATGTGTGCATGTGTCTTTATAGCAGCATGATTTATAATCCTTTGGGTATATACCCAGTAATGGGATTGCTGGGTCAAATGGTATTTCAAACAGAGCTTTTTGAAAATGTTAAAGTTTTGAAAACATTACCCAAAGATTATTTTTGAAATGCCAAGATGCATAACCCAAAAGGAAAGTTCATAAGATGTATCCATCACTAGCCATTAAAAAGTACTTTAAATCAATAAAAGTATCTATCGCTAGCCTTTTCTAGGTGTTGACTTATGATATCTTCCGTCATTGAGAGTCAAATATAGTAATAACTGCTTTCTAAATGCTACTGCTTTTTGCTTTTTTTTTTCTTTTCTGAGACAAGGTCCCACTCTGTCATCCAGGCTGGAGTGCAGGGCACGATCATGGCTCACTACAGACTCAACTTCTCGGGCTCGATAAATGCTACTGCTTTCTGAAAGGCAAAACTCATCATGCTGTTATCATCTCTTGCTTAACTTGATACAATCAAAGCACAATATTCCTCAAAAACATAAAAAATAAATTAAAAGTATAGAAATGTCTTCACTCCATTTCAACAAATAGATCCACTATCAATTTTGTTGCTCAAGCTTAAAACCTGGGCACTCTTCTGGATTCTATTTCCTTCAGACCTCATACTTTATTAATCATCGCCTGTTATTCACACCTTCAAGTGCATCCCAGTGATACTACTTCCTGTCACCTCTACTCCTAAAACTCTAACCCGTGCTGAAAATGTCTCTCTTTAGAACGCAGGAAAAGCCTCCTAACAGGTGTTTTTAGTTCATTCTTTATAAAGCAGCTAGAGTAGCATTCTCAGAATGTTATTTATAATCTGTCTTTTCTTTGTTTGAAACCTCTCAATGGTTTTTCTTTGCAAATTAAGTCAAGTTCCAACTTCTGTACCACAGCATGAAAGGCCTTTTCTGATCTGGTCACTACCCATGTTTTCAGACTTGCCTTCTCCACCCATTACTCATTCGGGATCTGCATCACTGTCAAGCCTTCTGAACACATCATTGCCATTTCAGAACATTGGCCCGTGTTATTCTTCCTACCTGGAAGGCTCTACACCTGGATCTTTCTATTCCTGTCTCTTTTTTTTTCTCAAATACAGCCTCAGAAACCTTCTTGAACACCATATCTAGGGTAACCCTCCACCTACCTCCACTATCCCATTATACTATTGTATTTACCACATTATTATGAGTTATATTTTAAATTTGTATCAGAGCATAATGTACACACAAAAAGGTATTCAATATACAAAAAATTTAGACTTGATTGATTTTCTTAAACTGAACATTGGGTATACAATCAGCATTGACATCAATAAACAGAAATTCAAGAACATGCTCATGCATCCTTCCAGCCACCGTCCCTCCAACAGTATAGGATAGTTTTGCTGGATCTGTACTTCATATGAAGGTACTCTTTTGTAGCTTGCTTCATTAGTTCAACAATATGTTTGTAAGTAGTATTAGAACATCTATTCTTATTTTATGAACATGTCACAATTTATCCATTTCGCCATCAGTGGGCTTTTGATTGCTTCCATATTTTATGTTACCATATGTCTTTTGGTAACATTATGCATACATGTTATCTGTTTTTTGTCATTGTAACAGCATATCTGAAGCTGAGTAATTTAAATAAAAGAGATTTATTTAGCTCACATTTCTGCAGGATATACAAGAAAAATGGTGCCAGTATCTGCTCAGTTTCTGGTAAGGGCCATGTGCTTGGTCAAAACATGGTAAAGGTCACAGAGTAAAGCAGATATGTGTGAAGAGAGAGGCAAAAACCAGAGGAACATCTGGCTTTATAGCCACCCACTCTCCTAGGAACTAATCTATTTTTATAAGAACTAATCCAGTCTTGCCAGAGTGAGAACCCACTCACTATCACAAGAATGGCATGAAGCCATTCATGAGGGATATGACCCCATGACCCAAATATCTTCCACTAGGCACCACCTCTCAACACCACCACATCGGGAATCAAATTTCGACATGTATGTTGGTAGAGACAAACCATATCCAAACCATAGCATTCTGCCTCTGACTCCAAAAACCAATGGCTTTCTTACATACAAAAATACAATCATTCCATCCCAGTAGTCCCTAGAGTCTTGACTTGTCCCAGCACCAACTCAAAAGTTTAAAGTACAAAGTCTCATTTGAGACTGAAGGCAAGCTCCTTCCAACTATGAGCCTGTGAAAGCAAAGCAAGTTATTTACCTCCACATTACAATGGTGGGACAGACATTTGGTAAACATTCTCATTCCAAAAAGGAGAATTTGACCAAAAGAAAGAAATGACAGACCCCATGTAAGTCTGAAACCCAGCAGGGCACACATTAAATCTTAAAGTTCCAGAAAAATCTTACTGGACTCCATGATCCTGGGCACACTGGTGTAAGGGATGGGCTCCCAAGGCCTCAGGCACCTCCGCCCTTATGGAATTGCTGGGCATAGTCACATATCTGCTCTCACAAATTGGAGTTCTATGCCTGCCACTTCTCCAGGCTGAGATTGCATGCTGCTGGTGGCTGCAACATTCTGGGGCCCCACTCCCATGCTGCCCCCATGGTTCTGTTAACCATTGCCCCAGTAGGGACTCTCTGTGGCAGCTCTGGGCTCACATTTCCAGTGGGAATTGCCTTAGTAGAGGCTCTTGGCAGTGGCTCCACCCCTGTGGCAGTTTTCTGACTGGACTTTCAGGATTTCCAAGCTGTCCTGTGAAATCTAGGTAGCACATGTAATATCTCTATGGCTCTTTTAATTTTGGCACTTGCAGATTACCATGTGGAAGCTATGGCTTACCATTTGGGCTCTCTGGAGTAGCCAGAGACACATATGGGGCTTTTTGAGCCACTGCTAGATGTACAAAGCAGGGTCCTGATGCAACACAGGGCACCAGGCTTAGGATAGTCTTTCAAAATAACTCTGCTTTCTCAGGCCGTGGGACTGCAAAGAGAAGGATAGCATGGAAGAGCTTTGAAATGCCTTTGGGATTTTGTTCCCTTTGTTTGGACTATTAGCACCTGGCTCCTTTTCATCCACACTAATCTCTTTAGCAAAGGGTCTCTTGGCTGTACCTCTGGTTTCCTCTCTTGAAAACACGAATTCTTTACCACATAGCTGGGCTGCAAATTTTCCAAAAATGTACACTCTGCTTCCCCTTTTCCTGACAGTTAACCTTATGCAGTTAGAAGTAGCTACATAGCAGCATGAGAGCTTTTATGCTTAGAAATTTCTTCCACCAGATATTCTAGTTCATTACTCTTAAATTCAGTCTCCCATAAAGTCCTAGGCCATGGACATCATGGACCCAAGTTCTTTGCAACTGTAGAACCAGGTTGACCTTTCCTCCAGTTTGCAGATAAATACTCCTCATTTCCTTCTGAGAACTCATCACAATGGCCTTTACTTGTCTACATTTCTAACAGCATTTTGGCCAGAACCACTAAAACGATTTCTAAAAAGTTGCAAATTTTCTCTTGTCTTTTTATTTTCTCCTGAGCCTTCTCTTTTCCTAAGCCCTCACAATAATTGTCCTTAATGCACCCTTCATGGTAATGCAGTTTTTTTTAGCCCCCTCCTCCAAACTCTTCCAAATTCTGCCCATTACCCAATTCCAAGCCACTTCTATATTTTCATGTATCTTTATAGCAACACCCCACTCCCTGGTACCAATTTTCTGTCTTAGTCCATTTTATGTTGCTATTGAAGAATACCTGAGACTGAGTAATTTATTAAAAAAAAAGAAGCTGATTTTGACTATCGTTCTGAAGGCTGAGAAGTATGAGAAACATGGGGCCAGCATCTGTTTGACTTCTGGTGAGGGACAAATGCTAGCTCAAAACATGGTGGAGAAGGTCAAAGGTGGAGCAAAACCTGAAGGATGTACTGGCTTTATAACAACCCACTCTCCCAGAAATGAATTAATTCCTCCAAGAGGTAGTTCAGACTTGCCAGGGTGAGGACTCGCTCACTAACACAAGAATAGCACCAAGCCATTCATGAAGGGTCTGCCTCCATGACCCAAACATCTCCCACTAGGCCTGACCTCCCAACAACACCATATTGGGGATCAAATTTCAACATAAGCTTTGGTGGGGGCAAAATAAACCAAATTCAAACTATAATATATCTATTAAGAATTCACTCAAGAATGGACCTGCAGGGGTGCAGGATATGGATATGTTTAGCTTTAGTCACAGCTACCACACACAACATGGTGGATATATGTGTTTTTTTGCTTGCTCACTTGTTGTATTTATTTTTGTTCATTGTCTTTTCCACACTGGAATGCAAATTTCTCAAGTGCAATTGCTTTGTTTGTCTTGGTCACAGCTATAAAGCATGAATGAATGAATGAGGAAGCTGTATCTGAAGAATATAGTGTTCTATCAATCACATTTCTTGAAATTCTGCCATCTAGTCTATTAATTAGAATTATTATCCTACAGAATTTTCTTGCTTCCCTGAAACTTACTGTTCTTACATGTAAACTATGACTCATAACAAGTTCTGCTTCCTTTGTTATGAAGTTGTTAAAGGATGATGAACCTGGCAAGGCACATAAATTTTTAAGTTTTAGATAGAGATTGATGAATATGATTATGATTATGACCATGATGATGTTTGTATAATGATAACCCCACATGGTGAATTATAATTTTGAGAAAGTCACCCTTTTGATGATGAGTGAACTCTTTATATAATTGGGATACTAACCATGTATCGGCACATGCTTTCTTTCCTCAATTCCTGGATCCATATGGAACATGAATATTAACTATGCCCTAATACTATTACATGGCTGATATATGCTTAATCTTGATGATCTCATGAGATATTTGAAAAGCATTTTACTGCCTTCCTAACCCATCCCCCTGTATGTTTCTCCAGTGTTTTAGAAACCCCGTTACCCCTCAGATATGCAGTGTTCTCATGATGTCTTTTCTGGGCAATGTCCTTTGCTTTCATCCATTTATTTTAAGTTATCTGACAAATAGTTTTCACTAATGTGTTGCAAAATAAAAAAAGATAAATACCGTACTTTTACTGAAAGTAATAAGCACCTGATTGTAGTGAGTACAATACCTGTTTAAGAAGACTATGTTCAATGACTCTTTCTACCAGCTTGCAGATGGAAACACATTTTTGTGTTTATGGAGCCCTCTTGTATTTATTTAGAATACATGTGAACATGGCAGGAGAAACGGAAGGTATAAGAAAAAAAGAAAAGAGAAGGAAAAGAGATCAAGAGGACGTTTTTTTACATTAGTTTTTTTTTCCCACCAAGTTGAACGCTCTTTGAGGAAAAAAACACATGAAACTGTTTTTCCTCTGCTTCCACACCACACAACAACCAACATATAAGATGTATGGGACCAAATGAGTGGGGGATTTTTGATACACACGAAGTAAACAATCATTTCTGCAGTGGACACCACTTGGTGTCCTCCAAATCAATTCCATTCGGCCACTATCTACAGTCAAATGCGCTAGCCCAAGCTAAACTCCTATGACCATCTGCCACTATCTACAGTCAAATGCGCTAGCCCAAGCTAAACTCCCGTGACCATCGGCCACTATCTACAGTCAAATGCGCTAGTCCAAGCTAAACTCCCGTGACCATCTGCCACTATCTACAGTCAAATGCTCTAGCCCAAGCTAAACTCCCGTGACCATCTGCCACTATCTACAGTCAAATGCTCTAGCCCAAGCTAAACTCCCGTGACCATCTGCCACTATCTACAGTCAAATGCTCTAGCCCAAGCTAAACTCCCGTGACCATCTGCCACTATCTACAGTCAAATGCTCTAGCCCAAGCTAAACTCCCGTGACCATCTGCCACTATCTACAGTCAAATGCTCTAGCCCAAGCTAAACTCCCGTGACCATCTGCCACTATCTACAGTCAAATGCGCTAGCCCAAGCTAAACTCCCGTGACCATCTGCCACTATCTACAGTCAAATGCGCTAGCCCAAGCTAAACTCCCGTGACCATCTGCCACTATCTACAGTCAAATGCTCTAGCCCAAGCTAAACTCCCGTGACCATCTGCCACTATCTACAGTCAAATGCTCTAGCCCTAGCTAAACTCCCGTGACCATCTGCCACTATCTACAGTCAAATGCGCTAGCCCAAGCTAAACTCCCGTGACCATCTGCCACTATCTACAGTCAAATGCGCTAGCCCAAGCTAAACTCCCGTGACCATCTGCCACTATCTACAGTCAAATGCTCTAGCCCAAGCTAAACTCCCGTGACCATCTGCCACTATCTACAGTCAAATGCGCTAGCCCAAGCTAAACTCCCGTGACCATCTGCCACTATCTACAGTCAAATGCGCTAGCCCAAGCTAAACTCCCGTGACCATCTGCCACTATCTACAGTCAAATGCTCTAGCCCAAGCTAAACTCCCGTGACCATCTGCCACTATCTACAGTCAAATGCGCTAGCCCAAGCTAAACTCCTATGACCATCTGCCACTATCTACAGTCAAATGCGCTAGCCCAAGCTAAACTCCCGTGACCATCTGCCACTATCTACAGTCAAATGCGCTAGCCCAAGCTAAACTCCCGTGACCATCTGCCACTATCTACAGTCAAATGCTCTAGCCCAAGCTAAACTCCCGTGACCATCTGCCACTATCTACAGTCAAATGCGCTAGCCCAAGCTAAACTCCCGTGACCATCTGCCACTATCTACAGTCAAATGCTCTAGCCCAAGCTAAACTCCCATGACCATCTGCCACTATCTATCTGGAGATAGTGTCAGATCCCACAGGGTGAGGGCTCAGTCCCATAACACTGCCTTCCATTTCCAGTGCCAATTAAAAGCCCCAAGTTGTCCTGTACTTTTGACCAAGTGATTGTAAATTGGGGATCCCACGGCCCTTCCTTGGGTTCAGTTAGTTTACTATAAAGGCTCACAGAATTCAAGGAAACACTTACCTATGTTTACCACTTGTTATAAATGATATTACAAAGGATACACAGAAACAGTCAGATGAAAAGACACAGAGGGTGAGGTCTGGAAGAGCATAAGAGCTTCTGCCTCTGTGGAGTTGGGACATGCCACCCTCCAGGCACATGGATGGGTTCTTATCACCCTCCTGTTCAGCTTCATGAGTTTAGCTGTCCAGAAGTTTTCTGTCCTCTCCTTTTGGCCCTTATATGGAGACTTTATTGAATAGTCATGATTGAAGCATGGACAATTGCACAGAAATATGATTGAACAAAGAGTATGACCTAATGTTGATAGAGTGAGTGGGGACACCCACGAAGGCCTGTCTGATCGGATTTTTCTTGGCCTCTCTGTATAGCATTCCCTCCCCCAGGGTATGAGAGAAGACCTCTTTTGAAACAGAGGTCTTATGACATACAGTCAGACAAGGTAGTCAGATAATTTCTTTGTGACCAAAAGCGGGGAAAGATTGGATTATATTTTTAGTTTCTAAGGCTTTCTTTGGGGAGAAAAAGAAGCAGGTGAAAAGAGGGAAGGCGAAGATCACAGAGAGAGATTCAGTTTTCTGAGGCCTAAAAAACCACAACATCATAACTATGGAGTTATGAACCAGAAACCCTAGCCAAAAAACCAATATTGTAATCATATGACTCCCTCCCTTTTTGCTTCATCTTTTGATGAAAGCACAGCCACAGTGACCACAGAGTCCCCCATTTACCATATGCATGGGAAGGAGTCGACTGTCAAAAGACACCTCCTGACACCCTTTGAGGACCCTTGAACCTCCCCAAGGCCCTCTTCAGAGCTCCAGTCACATCCTTGTTTCTAAGGCTGTAGATGAGGGGGTTCAGCATGGGTGTGAGAATGGTGTAAAACACAGAGAGGACTTTGTCCTGGGCTGGCTTGTGGTAAGAATGTGGCAGCATGTAGGTGTACATGGCAGCCCCGTAGAACAAGGACACCACAGTCATGTGGGATGAGCAAGTGGCAAATGCCTTCTTCCTGCCCTCCACTGAGCTCATGCACTGAACTGTAGTCAGGATTCGGGCATAGGAAGCAAGGACTACAGAGAAAGGAATCAGCAGCATCAAAACACAGCACACATACATCACTGTCTCGTAGAGGGCTGTGTCTGCACATGCCAACTTCAGGACTGCTGGTGCCTCACAGAAGAAGTGGTTAATCTCCCGGGAATTGCAGAAGGGAAAGCTCATGGTGATGGGGGTTAGGAGGAAGCCATCCAAAGAGCCCCCAAACCAGGAACCTGCTATAATCATCCAACAGACCCGGCGGCTCATGAGGACAGGGTATCTCAGAGGGTTGCAAATGGCCACATAGCGGTCATAGGCCATGAGGCCCAGCAGGAAGAATTCAGCTCCCACAAGGGTAAGGTAGAGGAAGTGTTGAGCTGTGCACCCCACAAAGGAAATGGTCCTTTGATCCAGCAGGTAATTAACCAGCATCTTAGGCACAATAGTGGAAATATACATCATGTCAATTAAGGAAAGGTGGCTGAGGAGGAAGTACATGGGTGTATGAAGGCGCAAATCTGTTTGGATCAGGAAGATCATAACCCCATTGGCCATCAGTGCGGTGAAGAAGATGATAGAGATGATGGCAAAAATAAGACCTGAGGTTTCCTTTCTGTTGAACAGCCCCATGAAAGTGAAGTCTGTAGAGGATGTGTTGTACTCTTCCATTGATCCTACAGTTGTGCCGATATAAGGTAATATCTTCCAAATAAGATGATAGCATTCCCAGGGCAGTAAAATAACAACATGTGAATTAATTGTTAGGCAGCAAACTTTTAAAAGTGGGAAGAAAACATTTAAAAAATAGTATTCTTGCCACATTGAGACTGATATCTAGCATTTACTCTATTCCAGAAGGTTTTTAAATAAAATTGGTCATTATTAATCAATAATTGCTTAAATACATTGGAGAAGATGAGGTCAGCAGATGATACTGTATTACGATGATGTGCATAACAATGCCTAAGGTTGCATACCATGCTACACAGCAGTTACGCATACCATGGTCCGGTGTATGCGTGTGTGTATTACCTTAGATGCATTTAAATTTGTATTATTATTTAATGTGTCTTTGTATGGTTGGCATCACCACTACTTTCAAAACATCTTTGGTGCTGGCTGTGAGTAGCTCATGTCTTCCATTTAGCTACAAGTACGGGTTATCTACCATTTGGGTCACAAGTCACTGTCTACATCATGAGAGTATACTTGGTGTTAGTTTATCCATGTCCCAGACAAATTATAAGGGATGAAATAAAAAGGGCAACAGAAACTCAACGGAAACTACTCTTGCAAATTTAGACATAAAAATTATTCTCAATACAAGAGGCATTCAGTGTTGTAGAATTTTATTTATTTTCAATTTTAAGATGATGAGGAATTAGCATTAGGATTATGATTAGCATGACCATTAGAAATCAGTATTAGCAATTAATATTCAGAGGAAATACCACAGGGACGTAAACATTGAGCTATAATTCACTGATTATTTTTGGAAATTAGAATTTTTCATAGTTCTTCATAATTAAGAAAAACTGAGTGTGTTTTATACAATTTCAGGTTACAATAAAGAAACAAATATCCACAACAAACTTCATGGAAGTAAAGGATGATTTTTCACATTGTTTAAGGCTAAAAGTGTCCCAAGAAAGACATTTTACCAACATATTTGGGAGTAAAATTGATCAAACTAGTCTAGTGCTCCTCTAAATATTCTAAAAATATTAGCATTTGAGTCAATTGCCCAGAAAAAGAAGTTGCTATTGAGAATAATGATGATGACATCGTGGAGTTTATTTTGCAAAGTGTCATGCTAAGAAGTACTTTGTAACTATTGACTCCCTGATCTTCACAATAAAACTAAGAAGTGAGGAGCTATAAAAGCCCCTCTCACCAATGACAGCATTGAGGGTAACGTGTTGGTGGTCACGGGGTCTGTTAGTGCCAGGAGTGTTTGGACTAGATAGTCTCAATTCATTATATATTCATACACATGGCATTGTGTATATAGGAAGCTTTATATGGGAATAGCAGCTAGACATTTACTGTAATTAGCAAATAAAATGTACCAAGCATGTGAACCTGCTAAATTGTTAACAATGTAATAACTAATGTGACTAATGAAAATTAGTCATACTTGAGAGTAGATCACATAAATTATTATAATCAGGATTGCTGTTTTATGGATATAAACTATGTGTACAGATATACACACATATATAAAAATGTACACATAGATACATCATATGTATATTTTATATATATATATAATGTATATTTTGCTAATTCAGAATATTTGGTGTCAGGTTTTATACATTTTTATGATACTATGTACAATGTCATCATTACTTACAACCTCCCTCATTTTACTTTTTTTAGGTTTCATTAATGGAACCTATAAAAATATATTTCTAAAGGGAAACTCCTCTCCAGTTTATGTCGCAGCCTAAATATTAGCAGTATTTCAGCTACTTCCACACTTCCTACATTTTCGGTTTGACTTTTATCATGCGATAAGACACCAGAAACAGAGGGAAAATCATGTGCTGCTTCACAAAGTCAAACAGTGGTCTCTGCTGTCTGTTCACCCTTACTCCCATTTTATACACACACACACACACATATATGTAATAGCGCCCTCTGCTCTCTGTTCACGCTTACTCCCATTTTATACACACACACACGTATATGTAATAGCGCCCTCTGCTGTCTGTTCACGCTTACTCCCATTTTATACACACACACGTATGTGTAATAGCGGCCTCTGCTCTCTGTTCACGCTTACTCCCATTTTATACACACACATATATGTAATAGCGGCCTCTGCTGTCTGTTCACGCTTACTCCCATTTTATACACACACACGTATATGTAATAGTGGCCTCTGCTCTCTGTTCACGCTTACTCCCATTTTATACACACACGTATATGTAATAGCAGCCTCTGCTCTCTGTTCACGCTTACTCCCATTTTATACACACACGTACATGTAATAGCGCCCTCTGCTGTCTGTTCACGCTTACTCCCATTTTATACACACACTTATATGTAATAGCAGCCTCTGCTCTCTGTTCACGCTTACTCCCATTTTATACACACACGTATATGTAATAGCGCCCTCTGCTGTCTGTTCACGCTTACTCCCATTTTATACACCCACACGTATATGTAATAGCGGCCTCTGCTGTCTGTTCACGCTTACTCCCATTTTATACACCCACACGTATATGTAATAGCGGCCTCTGCTGTCTGTTCACGCTTACTCCCATTTTATACACACACACGTACATGTAATAGCGCCCTCTGCTGTCTGTTCATCCTTACTCCCATTTTATACACACACACGTATATGTAATAGCGCCCTCTGCTGTCTGTTCACGCTTACTCCCATTTTATACACCCACACGTATATGTAATAGCGGCCTCTGCTGTCTGTTCACGCTTACTCCCATTTTATACACCCACACGTATATGTAATAGCGCCCTCTGCTGTCTGTTCACGCTTACTCCCATTTTATACACACACACACGTACATGTAATAGCGGCCTCTGCTGTCTGTTCACGCTTACTCCCATTTTATACACACACACAAACATATATATGTAATAGCGCCCTCTGCTCTGTTCACGCTTACTCCCATTTTATACACCCACACGTATATGTAATAGCGGCCTCTGCTGTCTGTTCACGCTTACTCCCATTTTATACACCCACACGTATATGTAATAGCGGCCTCTGCTGTCTGTTCACGCTTACTCCCATTTTATACACACACACACGTACATGTAATAGCGGCCTCTGCTGTCTGTTCACGCTTACTCCCATTTTATACACACACACATATATGTAATAGCGGCCTCTGCTCTCTGTTCACGCTTAGTCCCATTTTATACACACGCACATATATGTAATAGCGGCCTCTGCTCTCTGTTCACGCTTACTCCCATTTTATACACACACACGTATATGTAATAGCACCCTCTGCTCTCTGTTCACGCTTACTCCCATTTTATACACACACACATATATGTAATAGCGGCCTCTGCTCTCTGTTCACGCTTACTCCCATTTTATACACACGCACATATATGTAATAGCGGCCTCTGCTCTCTGTTCACGCTTACTCCCATTTTATACACACACACGTATATGTAATAGCACCCTCTGCTCTCTGTTCACGCTTACTCCCATTTTATACACACACACATATATGTAATAGCGGCCTCTGCTCTCTGTTCACGCTTACTCCCATTTTATACACACGCACATATATGTAATAGCGGCCTCTGCTGTCTGTTCACGCTTACTCCCATTTTATACACACACGTATATGTAATAGCGGCCTCTGCTGTCTGTTCACCCTTACTCCCATTTTATACACACACACGTATATGTAGTAGCGCCCTCTGCTCTCTGTTCACGCTTACTCCCATTTTATACACACACACGTATTTGTAATAGCCTCTGCTGTCTGTTCACGGTTACTCCCATTTTATACACACACACACACACGTATATGTAATAGCACAGGGACATACATATTGAGGTATAACTCACCGATGATTTTTGGAAATTGGAATTTTTCCGTAGCTCTGGCAATTAAGAAAAACTGAGGGACTGTTTTATACAATTTCAGGTTACAGTAAAATCCACAACAAACTTCAAGAATATAAAGGATGATCTTTTATCCATTATATATATATATATAAGTATATACATTCATAATTTCCTCCCATAGATTTATATATGTATATATGTAACTCTTCTGTGGTTCTAGCTTTTTCTATGGCCAGCTAGCCCTGCAAACCTAGCAATGCAAAGGGAAATTCTAAAGTCTACTCCATTTTGCAGCCAAGTGGCCTTACTTTTCCTATCTGCATACAAAAGATCTAATTTATCAGAGAACAAGCCCTCCTCAAAGTAAATTATGATTTTAAGTAAAATGTTTTGTTAAATTTATTATCTGCTCTCTCACTAGAGTGAGCACAATAAGTAACTATACTTGTTGAATATCTCCTGGGCATAGATCATACAGCTTTGCTATGGTTTAGTACACATAAAAATAATCAGAAAATGTTTGGAATGATTCTGTGACTTTATATAGGCATTTGTTTCTGAAATGATGAAGGCAACATACAGTAAAACAAAATTTAGAATTAAATGAATTGAGTTCTTCCTCTGGTCACGACATTAATTAATTCTGTGACCTTGGATTATCTTCCTAAACACCCTGAGCCTCAGTATCTGCTTATATTAATTGATATAATAAACATTCAGGGTTACTTTAAGAATCAAATAAGAAATTTATAGTTACAGGTGCAAATATTTTATACAATACCAAGTAAAATGTAAGATATCTGCAAATTATTTCAAAACTATTGGTAAATGGGTGCAAATTCTCAATCTCTCATTTAAGCAATCTACATATTCAACTAAAATCTATGAATTTAAATTGCAAATACCTCCTGATCTTCAGAAAAGGTCTGTAAACCCAGGTGCTCCCAGTGAAGTTACATCAGCAGTTAAAGTCTATCTTTTCCCCCAAGTATCCTTTGACTTGAAAGGATTGTTACTTAGTAGAAATTCTCAGAAAAAACTGTGCATTTCAATTAAGCTTGCAGAACATCTAAATGCCTTTGAAGAGCAGAAGTATGCTTGGCCTGCAAATTTTGAGAAAATTATTTTTAAAAAGTTAGTGGATAAAATAGACATAATTTTATTGGATAAAATTGTCTTTTAGGCCTACCTAAACTATTTTTTATTGCATAATACCGTACACCAAGAGATAAATCAATGCATTTATGTTATCCTGACATTTGTAAATATTCTGTACTATTTTATAAGGCGTGCATGTTGGTTGAGTAGGGATGGCCGCAAATATTTTCCTCCCACATCACTACAGTTTGAAGGTAGGACACAATGCTTGCCCAGGACTGTGATGATCTCCAAGCCCATCCTTTAAATCAAGTGACAAGATAATTCCTAACTTGTAAGTTGCAGCCTTTGCTTGCTTCCCTATGACCACTGGTGAAGTTTCTGCCAAAGAAAAGAGCAAGCTCCATGCTCCTTCAATGCAGCAGCCTTGTTAGGAAGCTCTGCATTAGCTTAAATTAAAGCTGCTTCATGCAGGATTCTTCCTTGCCTTCTGAATCTGCTTGGAACCAGTTTTCTCTCTTTGCAACATTCAACATTTCATAATGTGAATATGACTACAAGGTTTTCTGTCCTCCTTCTCTATACCGGTCACACTTCTCCAGTTATTTTATGCATTCATGTATGAATTTTTTTCCAAAGTGCTCAACTTCCAGGTATTTACTGGGGATAGCTTTTGCAATGTCTATTTTAGAATATAATACCTCAATTTCAACAGATTACTGTAGGTGTGGTTTTTCCTGTACAGAATACACTGGCAATATTACTTTTCTGTTGTTATCGCAGACACATTGAGTCATTACATACACATTCAAACTTACAGTTACCTTTTCACATGAGAAGTTCTCAAGACAGGTCAATACAGTGCTGTGCAATTTTGAGACTAAATACAAAAATATATGTTCCTAGTTTTTCTCCGTGTTCCTAAATTCTGTTTAGTATTTCAAAAAGTTGGAATCATTAAGAATGAACTCATATTGAAATAATAATCATACAATTATTAGATAATAAAGCACTAATGTACTCTGACAATTTTAGAGTAACTTAGAACCACATTCTTCAACCCACACACACCTCCTACAAGACCCATAAAGAGACTACACACTAGAATAAACCCCTCTACTAGAGAGACCTGTTATTTCTGATGAGAGTTTATTTTATGCTTGGTGTGATGGACACTAAAAAAATGCCTGTGAATCACTGGCAAAGTGGATCTGAGAAATCCAGGTGTCTGCACATTCTTTGAAATCATTGTGGAAAAAAGGATTTTTAAAATGCTTGCACGTTTGACAGTCAGGCAACGAGTCTATGTTGGAAATTAGAATGCCTGTAGGAGTCTGCCTTACGTCAGCTCTGTGTCTTTAATGCAAGCATCTTCAACTCTCCAATCATCAGTGTTCTTATCTGTAAAACGAGGGGAAGGAGATAAAGACAATGCACTGTTCAGAGATTCAGGAAGCCTGGTTCATAGTCTGTACTTTAGAAACTAGGAGTAAGTACAGGTTTTTCCTTTAGATCTTTTGTGCCTTTCGAACAGTATTGTCCTTATCCTATCTAATTCATAAGACTAAAGTTTGCTTAAATTATTTTTTTAAGAAAAGCAGCAAACATTTAAGAAAAGATTCTTTGCACTGTTACACTCAATGGCATCCTTCTACCTGAGATTTACAACACTCACTCCATGTAATTCCCACAGATAATCAGACAGGCACTCTTTTTCTCAATGCACTTGCATTTGGCATGGAGGGAATGGGACAGTCATTCCTCATTATACTTGTGCCTGAGATTTCCAGCCCAGGAGTTGCAGACAACTCTGCCTCAACTTTCTTAGATCCAGTTTACGTAAATCTTGTTTATGTCATATAAAGAACGTAAATTCAGTCAGACCACAATGAAATGTTCTGGCAACCCGGTCATTTGCATATGCACCAAATATTTAAAGTGCTACTATGAGGAGGAGTCAGTCTAGGTGCTCATCAGCATTTGACTTCTTACCTGTGAAATTCCTGCATAATTCCAAAAGACCTGGATTTTCATTAAGGGAATAGGAAGAGTGGAACAAACAAAGTGAGTCTAAGTACAGCAGAAGCTCCTAGATGATCCATTTTAATTGCCTAATTTTACTGAGGGATGTTGCATCATTTAGACAAAACCTTAACTATTAAATCCAATTATTTAATTTTCAAAGAGCTTCATAAAGTAATGTATTCATGTGTTCTATATGTTCTCACATTTCTCATATCTCCTCTCATCCATGCAATCTGAATGCCACCCACTCAAAACAGCATGTGACACACATCACTAAGTAGACATCAAGGAATACAATATACATAATTTTCATAAAAATTATCCAAATATCTAATTTTATTCCAAACTGTATTCCAACAAAAGATGATTATCTGTCACTTACAGAGAGCTGAATCTGTCAGGATAGCCATTCAGAGTAGTAGATAGAGAAGGTTATGTATAATTTAGTAAATCAAAAACTTACTGGCAAACTACAACAACTTTATGTAACTAAACAAGCGATGAAGAACTAAGACTTTTTAGAAGGTTGAAGGTGATATTTTGCTAGAAGGAAAAATGATTAGATTTAGTAGACTTAAATTCTCATCTAACTTATACCAAGAAGAAAACACACAAAGCAATTCATAGTCATTGGTACCCACAACAGGAAATCCTTCAACATCTAGGCCATCTGGATGCCAAAGTGCTGTCAGCATGTTACCCTGAAGATCCAGTATGCATAGATTTCTAATTTGGATTTATGAACTTGGCATGACTGAAGGTATCCTTAGCAACTGATGATGGAGTTAGGACAAAGAGAGACATGCAACAAGTTTATTAGGAGCTATTTTTGTAATATAACTCTGCAGAAGGAAGTATTATTAAGCCAAACAAATAAATGCCACCTTAGAAATCCTTGAAACAATTTGCATTGCCAGGACAAATTGCATAAATTCTCCAGCCTTCTAGAAACATGTAATAATGTCTATTTCTTATCTTTACAGGGAAATATTTAGCAACTAAACAGGTCTGAAAAACTAAAAATGCAGGAAGAAAGCAGCAGACCAGTAAAGAGTGCCGAATTATTCTGGGTGTTCTGCTTTTGAGATCCCTGGAGCGACAAGGGAGCGCCCAGATTGAAAAGAGGCATGAGTTTAAATAGTTTTCTTTGAGGGACATGGAATGAAGTGCTCTGGGAAAGAGCAAGTTTCTTCCTTTTGGATCTCAGGAGACTTTAATGAGACGGACTTATTACAGCTAATGAGAAGTGTATTGATGGGGTGGAAAACAGTGAACATTTAAGTGACATGGGCTTTGAGAACATGTTTCAACTCCTGTGCTTCAAAGTGTAAAACTGATTTCCTGAGTGTTTCATCAGAAAGTTCTGCCAGCAGCTCTTCCTCACAGAGAAATGTGGGAACAAATGTGGAAAGCCATTAAAAAGATAAAAAGTAGCTTTATTTCTATTATATTTTAATAACATAACATCTGTTATGTTTGTTGGTAGTTTAATAATTATTATTTTATTTGAGCATAAAGGTAACGCATACCCATCGGGAAAAACATAATACCAGATAGGGTTATCGAAAACACATCATAGAGATGATTATCCTTACAAAATTGCATTTATACTGTATGTGTTTGTTTGTGTGTATGTTCGTGGGTATGTGTGTGTATGTACCAGTAAACTACAAGAGCTTTATGTAACTAAACAAGAGGTAGAGAACCAACAGAGAGACACATGCAGAAACTTAAACACTATAAATAGATATGGCATTTACACAACAACATATATGTGTGTGTGATGAGTGTCTGTGGGTTAACATGTAATTCCACAATTTGCATTGTTCACAAAATACAACATAAAAAGTGCCCCGATGTGAAATATTCTCCCAAACGTAGCATGCACTATCCACAAAGTACTATACTTTATGGATATGCTCAATATTATTTAATTAATGCTCCATTTTTATAACATACATACAGTTTTAATTCAGGGGACTAAAAAATAATGTGCTGATTAAATCCTTATGTCTAATTTGAGTATAGATTTTGGAAGTTTTCTTCATCGACTTTTCCTCAGTCAATATTATTTAATTCATTTGTGTGAATATTTTTAAAGTTTTGATTTTGTTAAGTTGCACCTCAAAAATATTATCATTTTTTATATTATCAATTCACATCTATATATCAATCATTTCATCTATCTATAAATAAATAAACACAAACACACAGATCTGGAAATTCTGATGTAAAAGGACTAGATTTAATGTTTTCTGTTGTTTTTCCTAGAAAGGTTAATTAATTTTTTTAACTTCAACTTTTTTTTTTTTTTTTTTTGAGACAAGAGTCTCACTCTGTCTTGCCCAGGCTGGAGTGCAGTGGCATGATCTTGGCTCACTGCAGCCTCCACCTCCAGGGTTCAAGTGATTTTCCTGTCTCAGCCTCCCGAGTAGCTGGGACTACAGGCATACACCACCACGCCTGGCTAATCTTGTATTTTCAGTAGTGATGGGGTTTCACCATGTTGGACAGGCTGGCCTCGAGCTCCTGACCTCAGGTGATCCATATGCCTTGGCCTCCCAAAGTGTGGGAATTACAGGCATGCACCACTGCACTCGGCCAACTTTTATATTTTTACTATTCATTTATTTAACTTCTTTTGAAAAAATCATTTTATTTATTTATTTATTCATTCCACTTTATTTGAGATTCATGGCGTACATGTGCCTGAGTGTATTGTGTGATGCTGAGGTTTGGATTATAAATGATCCCATCACTCAAGTAGTGAGCATGGTACCCAGCAGTTTTTCAACACCTACCCCCTCCCTTCCTCCCACCTCTAGGATGTAATGGTTGCCATCTTTGTGGCCAGGTGTTCAATGTTTAGCTCCCATCTGTGAGTAGGAACATCCAGTATTTGGCTTTCTGTTCCTGTGGTAATTCACGTGGGATGATGGCTTCTGGCTCTATCCATATTGCTGCAAAGGACAGGATTTCATACTTTTTTAATGGCTTCATAGTATTTCGTGGTGTATATGTGCCACATTTTCTTTTTTTTTTTTTTTTTTGCCACATTTTCTTTATCCAATCTACCATTGATGGGCAACTAGGTTGATTCCATGTCTTGCTATTGTGAATAGCATGGTGTTGAATATATAAGTACATGGGTCTTTTTGGCATAATGATCTATTTTTCTTTGGGTATATACCCAGTAATGGGATTACTGGGTCAAATGGTAGCTCTGTTTTAAGTTCTTTGAAAAACCTACAAACTGTTTTCTACATTGGCTGAATTGATTTACATTCCCACCAACAGTGTATAAACATTACCTTTTCTCCACAACCTCAGCAGCATCTGTTGTTTTTGGCTTTTTAATAATGACCATTTTGACTGGTATGAGATGGTATCTCATTGTGATTTGATTTGCATTTCTATGATGATTAGTGATGTTGAACATTTTTTCATGTTTGTGGCCAATTATATGTGTTATTTTGAGAAGTGTTTATTCATGGTATTGGCCACTTTTTAATGGCGGTGTTTGTTTTTGCTTGTTGAATTATTTAAGTTCCTTATATACTGCAGATCTTAGACCATTTTGGCATACACAGTTTGTGAATATTTTATCCCTTTCTTTTTTGGATTAAACGAATTTTTAAAATTATACTTTAAGTTCTGGGGTACATGTGCAGAATGTGCAGGTTTGTTACATAAGTATACATATGCCATGGTGGTTTGCTGCACCCATCAACCCATCATCTACATTAAGTATTTCTCCTGATGCTCTCTCTCCCCTTGCCCCCCACACTTCAACAGGCCCCAGTGTGTGATGTTCCACTCCCTGTGCCCATATGTTCTCATTGTTCAACTTCCACTTATGAGTGGGAACATGTGGCATTTGGTTTTCTGTTCCTGTGTTAGTGTGCTGAGAATGATGGTTTCCAACTTCATCCATGTCCCTGCAAAGGACATTGACTCATTTTTTTAAATGGCTACATAGTATTCCATGGCATATATCTGCCACATTTTCTTTATCTAGTCTGACATTGACAGGCATTTGTGTTGGTTCCAAGTCTTTGCTATTGTGAATAGTACTGCAATAAACATACGTGTGCATGTGTCCTTATAGTAGAATGATTTATAATCCTTTGGGTATATACCCAGTAATGAGATTGCTGGGTCAAATGGTATTTCTAGTCCTAGATCCTTGAGGAATTGCCACACTGTCTTCCACAATGGTTGAACTAATTTACATTCCCACCAACAGTGTAAAAGTGTTCCTATTTCTCCATATCCTCTCCAGCATCTGTTGTGTCCTGACTTTTTGATGATTACCATTCTAACTGGTGTGAGATGGTATCTCACAGTGGTTTTGATTTGCATTTCTCTAATGACCAGTGATGATGAGCATTTTATTATATGTTTGTTGGCCATATAAATGTCTTCTTTTGAAAAGTGTCCGTTCATATCCTTTGCCCACTTTCTGATGGGGTTGTTTGTTTTTCTCTTGTACATTTGTTTAAGTTCCTTGTAGATTCTGGATATTAGCCCTTTGTCAGATGGATAGATTGCAAACATTTTCTCCCATTCTATTGGTTGCCTGTTCACTCTCAGGATAGTTTCTTTTGCTGTGCAGAAGCTCTTTAATTTAATTAGATCCCATTTGTCAATTTTTGCTTTTGTTGCAATTGGTTTTGGTGTTTTAGTCATGAAGTGTTTGCTCACGCCTATGTCCTAAATGGTATTGCCTAGGTTTTCTTCTAAGGTTTTTATGGTTTTAGGTCTTACATTTAAATCTGTAATTCATCTTGAGTTAATTTTTGTATAAGGTGTAAGGAAGGGATCCAGTTTCAATTTTCTGCATATGGCTAGCTAGTTTTCCTAACACCATTTATTAAATAGGGAATCCTTTCTCTATTGCTTGTTTCTGTCAGATTTGTCAAAGATTAGATGATTGAGCAACCCCAAGACATGTAATTGTCAGAGTCTCCAAGGTTGAAATGAAGGAAAAAATGTTAAGGGCAGCCAGAGAGAAAGATCGGGTTACCCACAAAAGGAAGCCCATCAGACTAGGAGTGGATCTCTCTGCAGAAACCCTACAAACCAGAAGAGAGTGTGGGTCAATATTCAACATTCTTAAATCAAAAAATTTTCAACCCAGAATTTCATATCCAGCCAAACTAAGCTTCATATGTGAAGGAGAAATAAAATCCTTTACAGACAAGCAAATGCTGAGAGATTTTGTCACTACCACGCCGGCCTTACAAGAGCTCCTGAAGGAAGCACTAAATATGAAAAAGAAAAACCTGTACCAGCCACTGCCCAAACAAACAAAAATGTAAAGGCCATTGACACTATGAAGAAACTGCATTAACTAATGGGCAAAATAACCAGCTTACATCATAATGACAGGATCAAATTCACACATAACAATATTAACCTTAAATGTAAATGGGCTAAATGCCCCAATTAAAAGGCCCAGACTGGCAAATTGGATAGAGTAAAGACCCATCAGTGTGCTGTATTCAGGAGACCCATCTCATGTGCAAAGACATACATAGGCTCAAAATAAATGGATGGAGGAAGATTTACCAAGCAAATGGAAAGCAAAAAAAAAAAAAAAAAAAAAAAATTCAGGGTTTACAATCCTAGTCTCTGATTAAACAGACTTCAAACCAACAAAGATCAAAAAAGACAAAGAAGGACATTACATAATGGTAAAGGGATCAATGCAATAAGCAGAGCTAACCATCCTAAATATATATGCACCCAATACAGGAGCACTCTGATTCATAAAGCAAGTTCTTAGAGACCTACAAAGAGACTTAAACTCCCACACAATAATAGTGGGAGACTTTAACACCCCACTGTCAATATTAGACAGATCAATGAGATAGAAAATTAACAAGGATATTCAGGACTTGCACTTAGCTCTGGACCAAGCAGACCTAATAGACATTTACAGAACTCTCCACCCCAAATCAACAGAATATACATTCTTCTCAGCACCACATAACACTTACTCTAAAATCAACCACATAATTGGAAGTAAAACACTCCTCAGCAAATGCAAAAGAATGAAAATCGTAACAGTCTCTCAGACCACAGTGCAATCAGATTAGAACTCAGGATTACAAAACTCACTCAAAACCACACAACCACATGGAAACTGAACAACCTGCTTCTGAATGACCACTGGGTAATTAATGAAATAAAGGCAGAAATAAGTAAGTTATTTGAAACCAATGCGAACAAAGACACAATGTACCAGAATCTCTGGAACACAGCTAAAGCAGTGTTTAGAGGTAAATTTATAGCACTAAATGCCCACAGGAGAAAGTGGGAAAGATATAAAATTGACACCCTAACATCACAATTAAAAGAACTAGAGAAGCAGGAGCAAACAAATTCAAAAGCTAGCAGAAGACAAGAAATAACTAAGATCAGAGCAGAATTGAAGGAGATAGAGACACAAAAAATCCCTTCAAAAATTCAGTGAATCCAGGAGCTGGTTTTTTGAAAAGATTAACAAAACAGATAGAATGCTAGGCAGACTAATAAAGAAGAAAAGAGAGAAGAATCAAATAGACACAGTAAAATATGATAAAGGGAATATCACCACTGATCTCACAGAAGTACAAACTACCATCAGAGAATACTATAAACATCTCTATGCAAATAAACTAGAAAATCTATTTTATCCCTTTCTATAGGTTGTTTGCTTACCCAGTTGATAGTTTCTTTTGCTGTGCAAAAGCTCTTTAGTTTAATTAGGTCCCTCTTGTCAATTTTTGTTTTGCTTGCAATTGCTTTTGAGGATTTAGTCATACATTATTTCCCATGGCCAATGTTCAGAATGGGGTTTTGTAGGCTTCCTTCTAGGCTTCTTAGTTTGAGTTATTACATTTAAATCTTTATTTCATCATGATTTAATTTTTGTATATAGTGAAAGGCAGGGGTCCACTTTCATTCTTCTGCATATGGCTATCCAGCTATTACAGCACCATTTATTAGGTAGGGAGTCCTTTCCCCATTGCTTGCTTTTGTCAACTTTGTCAAAGATAAACAGGGTGGAGGTCTGTGGCTTTATTTATTTGTTCTCTATTTGATTCAATTTGGTCTATGTGTCTGTTTTTATACCAGTACCATCTGCTTTGGTTACTGGAACATTATAGTATAGTTTGAAGCCAGGTATTGTGATATCTTTAGCATTATTCTTTTTGCTTAGGGTTACTTTGGCTTTTTGGTCTCTTTTTTTGTTTCATCTTAATTTTATAATAGTTGCCTCTAATTCTGTGAAAAATAAAGTCTGTAGTTTTTTCTGAATAACATTAAATCTGTAGATTTCCTTGGGCCACTTTAATGAGATTAATTCTTCCAACCAGTGAGCATGGAATGTTTATCTGTTTGTTTGAGTCTTATTTACTTTCTTTCAGCAGTGTTTTGTGGTTCTCCTAGCAGAGATCTTTCACCTCTGTGGCTAACTGCATTCCTAGATTTTTTATTTTTGTGGCTGTTGTAAATTGAATTGAGTTCTTGATTTGGATCTCAGCTTGAATGTTTTTGGTGTTTAGAAATGTCACTGAATTTTGTATATTAATTTTGTATCCTGAGTCTTTACTTGAAGTTGTTTCTCAGTTCCAGGAATCTTTTGGCAAAGTCTTTTGGTTTTTGGGGGGTATTGAATCATATTATCAGCAAACAGACATAGTTTGCCTTCTTCTTTTCCTTATTTAGATGCTTTTTATTTCTTCTTGCTGTGCAACTGCTATGCTATAAACCATTAGATGGCACTTGGGGGTAAGAGCTGACTACAGCCAATGTGGCACCCCACGTCCTAGAACTCATCCCGAGGCACCCACCTGTGTCCATCCTGGCTAATTAGTTTACATCACTCTTCCCACAGGGCCTACATGTGACCTCAGAAAAATCCTCAGCACAGCAATCCAAAAACCTAGCAGTGATCTTTGCAACTAGCATGTACCAAAAACTCATCAGTTTGACAAAACTACCTTGAATTCTTCTCCTGCATTAATAATTCTTCACATTTCATTTGAGCATCATTGTGAATGCCTGATGCTTGTCAGGCTGAATATCTCTGGATAGGTCCTAGAAGGCGCCAGACTCCTGTTGCTCTATGGTCCCCAATCATTCCACCTACACTCCTTCCCATGCACAGTCCTGCATTTTTTAATGTAAAACCATTGACTTCTTGAGAACATCAATTCATATCAAAAATCACTCTGTGCTACACAACGCCTACATATTTCTAAAGTCTAGTAATAAAATGACATATATTTATGACATTATGAATTTCAGAATAGTGACAAAAACCTTTAGAAATGTTGCTCACGTTCTTCCTCAAGTTTCCAAAAGGGTTGTGCATGACTTGATAGTTGCCGTGTTAATTTTGTTCTGAGGGAATCAACAACCATATCTAGGAGAGTATTCCCTATTCACTTAAGTAGAAACTCAGGCTAAGGCAACAGAGTCATCCAAATGGTAGACTGAGTTACTAGGAGAGCTAAAAGAAAAATTAATCTCTCTTCTAGCCATTACTAATTCTTCTTTGAGCACAAATTATGCATTTTGCTAGCTGGTTCCAACCAGGGGAAGCACATGTTTCTAAGAGGTTTCCCGCAGAGTCAGGCTGAGTTTTGAACTGATTTTCCTGCAGGGATGGCCAAATGGCCCACAAGTGGCTTCACATTCCATCAAAGGCTGAATATCTGAACTCGAGATGAAATTCCCAATGATGGGTCATGAATAATCAAATTCTTTAAAAAAAATTCACTCACTCTAAAAAGGCCTTCTCCTGAAGCAGCATCCCTCTTTTAATAGGTTTTGGTTTTCTGGTGTGAGGTAATATAGACATTTCCCCCCCTCTTCCATATACAGATGATGCATTTCCAGTATTTTCTTATATATGCAGAACAGGGAAGGAATGCTAACTTGGAATGAGGGGCTCCTACCATATGCCCCAAGCATAAAACTAATTAATATTTGGCCCATGTTCTTCTAACTTTCCAGGAAATATTAGCCTCACTGCTCCCGCGTCTTCAAAACAACATATAACCAAACTCCCAAAACAAGACCAATTAGATTAACAAACTTTTATTATTTCATCCCCATCCCCCATCCTAACTTCTACAAACACCACAATTCTTTGATGAGAACTCCTAATGATTTATTGACTGAAATCCAATCAAGAAATATAGTATCAGAGAGTTATATAATTGTTAGAAAACTGTTTTAAAATGAAATTTTATATTTTAGAACAATGAGGTTTACCAAAAAATTGAATGGATAGTTCAGAAAGTTTTTATATATCCCCTCTCTTTTCCCTATTGTTAACATCTGGCATTAGTGTAGTACATTTGTTACAATAGATGAATCAATTTTGATACATTATTATTAATAGTTCATATTTTACATAAGGATGAGTCTTTCTGTTCCAGAGTTGTATGTTTTTTTCCACAAATACATAGTACCATGTAGCATAATCTTATGTAACATTAATTACTGTGTCATATACAATAGTTTCACTGCTCTAA
Source organism: Homo sapiens (assembly GCF_000001405.40). Classification (NCBI taxonomy): domain Eukaryota; kingdom Metazoa; phylum Chordata; class Mammalia; order Primates; family Hominidae; genus Homo; species Homo sapiens. The sequence goes on along the minus strand of NT_187646.1, from coordinate 39,808 downwards.
AAGTCCTCTGTGCTCTGTCCATCCATCCATACTTCCCCCAGACCCCTTGCAACACTTATCTTTTTCCTGTATCCACAGTTTTGTTTTTTCCAGGATGTCATGCAGCTGGAATCACACAGTATGCAGCCTTTTCAGATTGGCTTCTTTCACTTCACAATATACATTTAAATTTCCTCCATGTCTTCCAATGGCTTGATAAATCATTTATTTTTAACACTAAATAATATTCCACTGTATGCATGTGCCACACTTTATCCATTTAATTTCTGAAGGACTTTCTGATTAAGTCTATGTTTTGGAATGTATGAAAAATCTACTGTGAACATAAGTTTCCAAATCAGCAGAGTTAACACCAAGAAACACAATTGCCAGATCATATGATAAGATTATGTTCAATATTGTAAGAAACTGTCAAACTGTATTCCAAAGTGGCTGTACAAGAGAGTGTGCTTTTGTCTGTAACGGATCGATAGAAATGAAAGAAATTGTAAAAACTGAATATAAAAGTCAATCATCTTTTCAAAGAATAGCTGAAATAATGACTAGCATTTATAAGGTTTTATTACATTCATCATTTTACTTGATTTTAAAATCTTACAAGAAAAAAAGTATGTATTAAGTCAAATTTTATAAAAAAGAAAGTTGGTCCTCAGAAGCATTGTATGATTGACAGAAATTCACATGGTGTTTACGTGGAGCTGAAACTGATGATCAGTTCTTATGGGCCAGCCCTCTCCTTCTCTTCTGATTTGTTGTGTTTTTTGTACCTCAACATCTTCTTGGTTGGAAATGCTCCCTCATATTATCTGGCACATACTGTTGTCCAAGACAGTCTGACAAGATTGAGGAGATGTTGAGCCTCCAGCTGAAGAGCCTCGGAAAAGCTGTTCCTGGATTTCAACTGAAAACCCTGCTCTGTTAGGCAAGACCTGGTCTATTTTCTTGATTAAGTGCTCAGCCCAATGCCAAGTTGAGCTGTTCTATTTGGCTAAATATTTTGTCAAATACCCAGCAGCTTTTTTCAGTACAAAAGGAGGTGTGGCTATCTTTCATTCACCCACCATCTTCAGTCGCTGCAGAACGTCACTGAACCCGGCTTGGATTTTGTTAAACCAATGACAGTACAAAGCCTGGCACAGCAGCTTGTAGAGGTGGCCTGAGGGGTTTGGGATGTGGTCCTGGTTTTTACTACTGTGTCTACAGTTTAGGCCAAACATTTTTTCTCCAGTTCTTAGCCACTTAAAAAGAAATCATACTAAGTGTATAGAACACCCTTGACGTAGCCAACTCCATCTTAGAAAAAGACTTTATTTTATATTTCATAGAGCACTTTTCCAACAAGGATAAGATGTGTTGTCTACTAAACAAATTAAAAAATAAAAGACTGTATCCAACCAGATAAGGACTCAAACAAGCACACTCTTCCATGATCAGTTCTCATGGGAGGACTCTGTAACCGTAAAAGAGCAGGCCTTCAGCAGCTCGAAATAGCCATGTTAACTGATGCCATCTTGCAGTCACTGGTGATGAAAACTTGGCATCTGCTGCTGAAGTCTCTGCCACCTCAGAGACTCTTTCTTGCAAGACCAGTGGACCACCCGGCCTGGACCAGGACCGCTTTTCTCTTCTTCTCTCCCCTTGGACTGGTTTGTGATCCTTTCTCCTATCCCTTTTCCTTCTTGTGTTAAATGTTAGTTTGTTTGTTGTGAAATGTTAAACCTATAACATTTACATATTGATTAAGTATACTATTATGTATGGTTTGCAATATTGACTGACTTGTGGAGTGGCTTGAGTCTGTGTGCCCACAACGCTGACTACCAAGTGAATGAAAAGTACTAAGGAGAGTTGCCCCCTTGGGAACTCTATGTAGCTCATGGTGGCTTTTGTGATTGAAACAGCATCAATAAAATCCTGACATTGTGGAAAGACACAAGCATTTGTGGTCCTGGTTATTTCTAACTTTGCACCGCTCATGACACTAAGTCATTTACAAGGGTTTCCAGTTCTAATTTTCACATGAAAAGCTGGGTATTTCCTTCCCACTTTGCAATGCTATCCAATGCAAAAGCCAGTGCTATAGAGAAGGAAAAATATGACGCTGTCTACTACTTTTTTAAAAGAGAAAAGTTGGTAGAAATAGCTCCAACAACACTAACATCTGCACAGGGATCCCAAAAGTTTAAAAATGCTAGTGAATTGGAGAAGAAGCTGTAAAGTGATTACAGAAACTGCTAGTTAATAGGGCATTTCTTTCTCAACTACCTTTTGCTGTGTCTTCCAATGTAACAGTTAGTTACCATATTAAAAAACTAACATTACAGACTCCCTCCCCCATAAAGATTTAGTCTTGGCATTTCTACAAAACACATGATTCATTTTTTTTTAGCTCCAAATGTAGATAAAGGAGGAGTGTTTTCAGTGGTTACTCAAAGAAGAGATATTTGGATTTTCTAAATCTTGGTGTAAGTCTATGTAGATTTTTCTTTTACAGTTTTATGACAGTTTAGTCTCTTTCATATGTCTTTCAAACCTTGGCATCCCTAAATCTTTGACAAGCCAATTGATGGATTGTTTAAACAATATAGTCAAAATCACCAGTTCTTATGGAGCCATTGAAAATGGGCAGAATATGTAATATTAACTCAACATTTTGGGGCATTCATATACACAAACTGCAATCAGAGAAGTGATATGAGAGAAGACTTGGAATCAGTAGAAACAAAAGAAGAATAAACATGAGTGGTGTTTCTAGAACTCTGGCATTATTTGTGTGTGACTGTTACAGCAACTTCCCATTTTTGATGGGGGTACTGTTGATACACCATTTAGCACAGCTGGTATTGAAAGTTCCTGTCAGCATCATCCGTGGTATCCATGATACGACCCCATATATGCCTGAACAGGATGTGGAGGTTTTAGACCATCAGAATTCTTTCCTCATCACACCACATGTCCCCTAACATCTTGCCACAACTCTCTTCAAGGCACCCATCACATCCCTGTTCCTCAGACTGTAGATGAGAGGGTTTAATAAGGGTGTGAGGATGGTATAAAAGGCAGAGAAGACCTTATCTTTGATTGGGGTGTGGTAAGATTGGGGAAGCGTATACGTATACAAGGCAGCCCCATAGAACAATGTCACCACCATCATGTGTGAAGAGCAGGTGGCAAAGGCCTTCTTCCTCCCTTCAGCCGATGTCATCTGATGCACTGTGATGAGAATCCTGGTGTAGGATGCAGTCACCACCGAGAAGGGGATCAGCAGCATTGCAACGCAGCACACATACATCACTGTTTCATAGGTGGTTTTGTCCCCACAGGCCAGCCTCAGCATGGTGGGTGCCTCACAGAAAAAGTGATTGATTTGGTGAGAGGCACAGAACGGGAGACTCATGGTAATGGGGGTGAGGAGAAAACTGTCCAAAGCCCCACCGAACCAAGAGCTGGCCAGGATCATCCAGCAGACCCGCCAGCTGATGAGGACAGGATAGCGCAGTGGGTTGCAGATGGCCACGTAGCGGTCATAGGCCATGAGCCCCAGCAGGAAGAATTCAGCCCCCATAAAGCCCATGTAGAGAAAGCACTGAGCAGTGCAGGCGATGAAAGAGATGGTCCCCTCGCCCATGAGATAATCTACCAGCATCTTGGGCACAATGGTGGAGATGTATAATGTGTCAATGACGGAGAGGTGGCTGAGGAGGAAGTACATGGGGGTGTGGAGATGAGGGTCTATGTTAATCAGGAAGATCATGACCCCATTAGCTATCATGGCCATGAAGAAGACGGCACAAATGACACCGAAAAAGAATCCTGAGCATTTATTGTGAGTGAAGAGCCCCATGAGGGTAAAGCCTCTGGTCAAGGTTTCATTGTTTTCATTCATGGTACTGAGTTTGAAATGGAGGCATAAGAAGAGAAGCAGGGTCAATGAAAATGACAAAAGATAAATCACTTAAACATGTCTGTGTAAACATTATTAGATTAAAATCTTTTATGTAGCTAATATAAAACTTTTTTTGGTGTGGTAGATTTGTAGCTTCCTTTTTCTTGGCTATTTCTTTTTGATGAAGAATAATTTCAACATTAGGACCCCATGGGATGAAGATGAATGAATGTTTGGCAATTGATACTTGGCTTAAGGGAGTTTCATTATGATTGAAGAAAATCTGGGCCCTAGAGAGGATCCTTCATTTGGAGTTGGCTCCATTTACTTAAAATGTGGATACAACTGAAAGACTATTGATCCAATCAATTCAAACAACCCAATAAAATAATTCAATAGGCCATTGGCTCAAATTGGGAATTTCTGTGATAATTTTAAAACCTATTGGTCTCATCCAGAAATAACCATAAATTGTAGACACAACTGAAAACTATGTTGAACTGTAATAAACATGATTACATTATCTGCCTGATCATTGGTCATTCTTATGTGTTCCCTCACCATTTGTCAATTTCTCATCCATTTGCACACTTAATCTTTATTTATGGAGAGAGTACTGTGCAGTGTTCTAAGCTCTGGGGATACTGTAGTAAATAAAAAGAATATGAATCATGTGACTTACATTCTAGTTATGAAATAAGCACAGTAAATCAAAAGTGGGAACCATGGTTCCAGGTAATGCAAATAAGGGCTTTGCGGAAAACTTCAACACAGACAATGAAAGATAAAAGAAAATTCATGTGAAGATTTAGGGCTAGGGTGTTCCTACAAAATAAATAGCAAATGTGACATCCCTAAAGCAAAAAGGAGTTTGGGATAGTCAGGAAACAAAAGTCAGTTCAGGAAGAGAATTGCAAGTGATGAAGACAGTGAGATATTAGTGATCAGTTCTTCAAGGTATGCAGGCCGGGGTAAAGAGAACAGAATTATTTTCTAAGTGTTATCAGTAGAATTGAGTTGCAGTTTGTAACATGTAACAGTTTAACTTTAACATGTTCATTATGATCTTTCTGTTTTTTTCTTTTTATCTCTTTGGTACATTTGAGTCATTTTTTGTTTTTGCTTAGTGTTGTATTTTTGTGGGTCTTGAAGGCTTAGACTGGGATAGACCAGGTTGTGCTTTCTGTCCTAATGTCCTCCTCATTTCACTCAAAACTTCCTGATTTGGTTGGTCAGTCGTAAGCCTTGGAGATGGTGACTGAAGGAAATGCATAAAAGATCTTGTAGGCCAGAGGCAGGAAACCATACACAATCTTAGATAGCTATGGGTGGTGCATTCACATCTTGAATACACGATGAATATAAGAATATCTTTTAAAAGTTTCCTCATCAGGTTTAACACTCTTTGAAATCCAACTTGAATTTCGAATTCTTGGACCCTTCTGTGTGCACTCAGGTGTTACACCAGACAGAGAGGCAGATGATGTAGCAGTAAGTGCACAGAGCCGGCAGCCAGCTTCCAGAACACCGTTTTGGAGTAGGGGGTTGCTCAATTCTGAAATACTTGCACTGAGAATGCTTGTTTGGGGTTCTGGCTTCATCATTTGCAATGTGCCCTAATGCACATTACTTAAAAACTTAGAGCCCGTTTCCTGATCTATAATTAGGATATCACAGGAAACTTACGGGATGTTGTCATGATCAAACGTCATGTAACATATGCAAAGGACCACAGCTGAGTAAATTCAAATGCTAATCTATGATAAGCTGTTGCGCTTGTGAGAGAATGCTGATAATGAGGACACACAATATCTTGCCGAAGGCAATATTGCATTTCTTAGCTACTGTGTGTATACCACAGGCACAAACAATAGGAGACACACTCTAAAAAGCACGTGTCACCTGTTGAGCACTAGGGGACACACTCTAAAATTATGTGTCACCTGTTGAACACTAACTAGGCAGGGCTGCAGGCTTGTGCATTGTCTTGTGAGTTATTTAAAATGATAAAATCTCAGAACATTCTTCCTGATCATGCAAATAATTGCCATTAGAGGAATCTTTTAGCAAAAGATATGGACTCGTAAAAGACTAGTTTCTGGGAAAACTGATTCCAGGAAGAAGACTGTCATTTCCTAAGTTCACTCTCAGATTAAACAGTGACTATCAAGATGTTAGGTAATAGCATTACATGAACAACAGGGCCTAAAAAATAATTTGCAAGTGTCTACATATTCTCCAGGGTGGCCTGTTTCAAACTTCTCAGTACATGCTCACGAAACCACAGAAACGATTCAATTTTTTATCTATACTGAAAATTAAAAATCTTGAGTACTAGAAAAAGATGAACCCTAGCGACTCCTCAGTAGAGAAAAGCCTCTTCGGTTTTGGCCAGCACATGTACAAGGTCTCTCATGGCGTGAACCACTCAGAAAAAGGATTGGCTGTGTGTCTCTGTGCCAGATTTTCTCTGCAGCAGGGTCTGCTTCTCTGCTTTCCCCATTCTTACCCTCCCCTAGCCAAGAAATTATGGAGAAAAAGGGTAGAGTTTTGCAAGTAGACCAACAAAGGAGGTTCTTGAAGGAGTGTTCTCAGCACAGTGAACAGGAGACTTCATTTAGGAAAGTGAGAAATACACAGACACAAGGAAAAATGCTAGCTAACAAGAAATCGAAACTTTTCCTTTCTAAGTTTTTCCTTCTCTTTCAACAAAAATTCAAACATAACTGCACAGTTTTGCTTACCGGTTTAGAAGAGGCTGAGTGGATCAGGTGGTGAGGGGAAAAACGGGCTGAAGATTTATTCTGTCCACTGTCCACCCAAAATGCAGATCCTCCATCTAATGGGTAGCATCTCATCTAACGAGCTCCTCGTGAGGACCTGATGAATCAGAAGGAGCTTCCCGCAATGTCAATGGGAGCAGAAACAGACGATAACATTAGGGAGCACTTCAGGAGAGGATGAACACACTCAGGCTAGTGCAGTGCTTTCTCCATGATGATAACACTAGGAAACACTTCAGGATAGGATGAGCACACTCAGGCTAGTGCAGTGCTTTCTCCATGATGATAACACTAGGAAACACATCAGGATAGGATGAGCACACTCAGGGTAGTGCAGTGCTTTACCCATGACAATAACATTAGGAAACACTTCAGGAGAGGATGAGCACACTCAGGCTAGTGCAGTGCTTTCTCCATGATGATAACACTAGGAAACACACCAGGATAGGATGAGCACACTCAGGCTAGTGCAGTGCTTTCTCCATGATGATAACACTAGGAAACACATCAGGATAGGATGAGCACACTCAGGCTAGTGCAGTGCTTTACCCATGACAATAACATTAGGAAACACTTCAGGAGAGGATGAGCACACTCAGGCTAGTGCAGTGCTTTCTCCATGATGATAACACTAGGAAACACTTCAGGATAGGATGAGCACACTCAGGCTAGTGCAGTGCTTTACCCATGACAATAACACTAGGAAACACATCAGGATAGGATGAGCACACTCAGGCTAGTGCAGTGCTTTACCCATGATGATAACACTAGGAAACACTTCAGGATAGGATGAACACACTCAGGCTAGTGCAGTGCTTTCTCCATGATGATAACACTAGGAAACACTTCAGGATAGGATGAGCACACTCAGGCTAGTGCAGTGCTTTACCCATGACAATAACATTAGGAAACACTTCAGGAGAGGATGAGCACACTCAGGCTAGTGCAGTGCTTTCTCCATGATGATAACACTAGGAAACACATCAGGATAGGATGAGCACACTCAGGCTAGTGCAGTGCTTTCTCCATGATGATAACACTAGGAAACACTTCAGGATAGGATGAGCACACTCAGGCTAGTGCAGTGCTTTCTCCATGACGATAACACTAGGAAACACATCAGGATAGGATGAGCACACTCAGGCTAGTGCAGTGCTTTACCCATGACAATAACATTAGGAAACACTTCAGGATAGGATGAGCACACTCAGGCTAGTGCAGTGCTTTACCCATGACAATAACATTAGGAAACACTTCAGGAGAGGATGAGCACACTCAGGCTAGTGCAGTGCTTTCTCCATGATGATAACACTAGGAAACACATCAGGATAGGATGAGCACACTCAGGCTAGTGCAGTGCTTTCTCCATGATGATAACACTAGGAAACACTTCAGGATAGGATGAGCACACTCAGGCTAGTGCAGTGCTTTCTCCATGACGATAACACTAGGAAACACATCAGGATAGGATGAGCACACTCAGGCTAGTGCAGTGCTTTACCCATGACAATAACATTAGGAAACACTTCAGGATAGGATGAGCACACTCAGGCTAGTGCAGTGCTTTACCCATGACAATAACATTAGGAAACACTTCAGGAGAGGATGAGCACACTCAGGCTAGTGCAGTGCTTTCTCCATGATGATAACACTAGGAAACACACCAGGATAGGATGAGCACACTCAGGCTAGTGCAGTGCTTTCTCCATGATGATAACACTAGGAAACACATCAGGATAGGATGAGCACACTCAGGCTAGTGCAGTGCTTTCTCCATGATGATAACACTAGGAAACACATCAGGATAGGATGAGCACACTCAGGCTAGTGCAGTGCTTTACCCATGACAATAACATTAGGAAACACATCAGGATAGGATGAGCACACTCAGGCTAGTGCAGTGCTTTCTCCATGATGATAACACTAGGATACACTTCAGGATAGGATGAACACACTCAGGCTAGTGCAGTGCTTTCTCCATGATGATAACACTAGGAAACACACCAGGATAGGATGAGCACACTCAGGCTAGTGCAGTGCTTTCTCCATGATGATAACACTAGGAAACACATTAGGATAGGATGAGCACACTCAGGCTAGTGCAGTGCTTTCTCCATGATGATAACACTAGGAAACACTTCAGGAGAGGGTGAACACACTCAGGCAAGTGCGGTGCTTTACCCATGACAATTAAAAACAGTTCCAGGATGAGACGTTACAAGAAAGGCTGCAAAGAAGAGCGCTGAAGACATAAAATTTTGTTAGGGTTGTGGAGGATAAAACTTGAGTAGCTCTCCAGGATGCAGAAAGGCAGATATTAAATGGTAAGAAAGATAGACATGGGCCGGGCACGGTGGCTCACCCCTGTAATCCCAGCATTTTGGGAGGCCAAAGTGGGTGGATCACCTGAGGTCAGGAGTTCAAGACCAGCCTGGCCAACATGGTGAAACCCTGTCTCTACAAAAGTTAGCCAGGCATGATGGCGGGTGCCTGTAGTCCCAGCTACTCTGGAGGCTGAGGTGGGAGGATCGCTTGAACCAGGGAGGCAGGGGTTGCAGTGAGCTGAGATTGCACCATTGAACTCCAGCCTGGGCAACAAAGCAAGTCTCCATCTAAAAAAAAAAAAAAAGAAAGAAAGAAAGGTAGACATGGAGTATTGGAATTACAAAAGCAAAATATAAATAATCAGTGTTTTAAAAAGAGTGATTTCACAAATAGGAGAGAATTATTAATAAAAATTGAAAAGGAAAACTTGGGAAAGGAACAAAAAGACTCTGTATATGGATGTTTCATTTCATTAATAAATACACTGTGTGTGTCTGGGAAAGTTATTTGAAGTAAAAGCATCTGGCAGCATCTAATAAAAACATAGTTGCATGCAAACAAAACACAAGAAAAGGAAAACACAGTCACCTACACAGGCTAAAATTCACACTGACCACAGGTGTCTTCCTGATAAATTCCAAATAAAAGTGAAAAAATGTCTAAACTGAAGATATACAATGTTGCAGTAAAAAGAGAGAGCTCTGGAGCCAGAATTTCCTTGGGTTTGACCCTTTCTCCACCACCAAATTGTGTGGCCACGGATACTGAAATTACTTTTGTATCCATTTCCCCCATTTGCTCTGTAATAATAGAAAGGGCCCAAGTTTCAAAGTTTACATCATTCACACACATCAGTTTCTTAGACTAGTATCTAGAATGTGCTATCTGTTCAGTAAAACTTATTATCGATATCATTAGATACATTTTAGTTGAGAGTAATGTGTGGCTCAAACAGGAAGACATTCTGAGATAAATTAGGGGGGATAAACAGTAAGATACAGCTGAATATTTTTGTAGATGAAACAAAATTAAGAAAAGGGAAGAAACTGTAATATTACTAACAGTAAACGTTGAATTCAGGTTAAATATATATATATTTAAAAATAATGTAAATATGATTGCCTTATTGCATAGAACTCAAAAGATTCTTATCAACAAAGACATATATATGTAGAAATAGATAGATACATATATATCTATGACATCTAATCTGTAGACACAGACATACCTATCTCTGTCTATACAGAAAACAGGGTCTGAAAATGGAATGCTAATACTATACATGCAAAACAAATTCTATTTAAATAGAATGTAAAATTAAGAAGTACCAGAAAGCAGCTTTCATTCATTTATGTATTTATACATTCAAGTATTTATTGTGATCCAGTATTCACTAGACATTTTTCTAGGAGCAGAAGATACCATTAACAATATTCCCTCTTTCTTGGAACATACAGGGCAAAGGGCTGATTATAAATAAAAACATATACAATTATGAAGAATCTAACATTTTTTCTAAGTAAATGAGCCAGAAAAAAAAATACATTTTTTTTTTTCTGGAGCCTATGACTCCAACACAGAGGCAACTATAAGAATAAGAACAATTTTGAAAAAGATTAACCAAATCAGTTACTGGTATTAAAATGAGTTAAAAGAATGTTTGTATGTGTGTACATGTGTGTTTGGGTGTCTATTAAAATGGTTTAAAATAATGAAAGAAAAAAAGGCATAACAGCACAGGAAATTAACGCGAAGCATATGATGAAATGAGATAGAAACAACTAGGTTAATCATGGCTACAACATCATTCAGAGTAAACATCCGCTTTCAAAGTGTAGATTTACTCTTCAAAGAAAACAAAACAAAATGTACAAAATGGAAAAGAAAACTAAAAAAATGCAAAAAGGAATGACATAGTATATATAAACTACAATATGAGGTGATATTATAAATGGAACAAAGAGAACAATTCTGTAATTTGGATTTTAAATGGAAATGCATTATGTGCTTAATATATTCAGTTAGCTTCCATAGGACAATCTCTTTTTTTTTTTTTACTAAAATATATTAGAATTCTAAAATCATAATAATAGGTTCACATCTAAATCAGAGAATTTGAAATACTTTAACGTATGCCTAAAACACTACTTAGACCAAAGGAAGTTCAAACTTTCATTAAATTAAATATATTATGTATGGAAGCCTATAGGATATAGCTAAAGATGTATCCAGACAAAATTTTATAACCTCTAATAATGTAATTCTTATAGAAAAAATATGTGATGTTAATAAAGATTCAACCCAATACATTAGAAAAATATCTGCAAAATACATTTAAATAAGAGAAAGACCATATAAAAGACTTAAATAGATATTAATGGATTTTAAAATAAGCAGACTGAATATTTAAAGTTGATTCTTTAAAACTGAAACAAAATAGACCTATTTCTGGCCATGCTAATGATATTTGAGGGCAGAAAGGATGACACAAAACATCATTAAAAGTAAGAAAAATGATCCAACTACAGATATGAGAAGAGTGATAAAATATTTATAGTATGAGAAGTTATTTTAACATTATATTAATATAGTTTGAAATTTTAATGAAGAAGACGATTTTAAAGTATAGTTTTGTATGAGTGCATGCATACACATAATATGCATATATAGTTATAAGTAGATATAATGCATACACACAAATATAGTCAAAATTCTTAATATGCATATATAATTATAAGTAGATATAATACATACACACATACAGTTAAAATTCTTAATATTCATATATAATTATAAGTAGATATAATGCATACACACACATATAGGTGGGGGGAGGGACAGCATTAGGAGATATACCCAATGTAAATGACGAGTTAACGGGTGCAGCACACCAACATGGCACATGTATAAATATGTAATAAACCTGCACGTTGTGCACATGTACCCTAGAACTTAAAGTATGATAAAAATAAATCAAAAAAAAGAAAATACCAAAGAAGATCTCTAAATTTGGAACAATTTAAAAGTTTTAATGGAATTCTGCTTTCCCAAAATTCCTAGTTCAGAAAACATCCCATAAAAATCTTCTAAGGACAGAAAATTTAAAAATCTTTGTACACAAAAAAATGGAATTAATTAATCATTTATTTTATAAATATATATAGCCTTCAAAAGACAGAAAACTCTCATAATTATAAACCAAGTTCACATATATAAATATTTCCCAAATGAATATTAATTATTGAACTCAGAAGTATATTAATAACAACACATCTTCAAACCTGTTCATATAAACTCCCTCTTTTCCCATTCTATCCCCCTTCAAAGATTCTTGGTTGTTTGTGAGCTAAAGATCAAGTTTTGATTGTGGTTTGTATGTCCCTAAGTGACCTGGATACTCAGCTCTCTACTCTGCAGCACTCTGTCAATTCCTGGCACCTCTCTCCCAGAAAATAGCCTGACTCAGGAGCTCTCTCTGCCTGGAGCACAATTCTCTCTTCATCTGGTTACTGTAGACCCAGGTCTCAGGTCACTTATACTTCTTGCAGGAATCCCCTATGGTTTTAATAACAATGTCAAATGCCCCAGCATATATGAACAAGTAGTTACTCATAATATCAACAACATATCAACAAAAATATTTCTTTTTCTTTTTCTTTTCCTTTTTGAGACAGGAACTTGCTCTGTTCCTCGGGCTGGAGCACAGTGGCACGATCACTGCTCATTGTAGCCTCAACCTTTTGGGCTCAAGCAATTGTCCTACCTCAGCCTCCTGCGTAGCTGGGACTATAGGCACAGACCACCATATCCAGCTTATGTTTTTGTATTTTTTGTAGAAACAGGGTCTTGCCATGTTGTCCAGGCTGGTCTTGAACTTCTGGCCTGAAGAAATCTTCCTGTCTTGGTCTCCCAAAGTATTGGGATTACAGACATGAGCTACCGCACCCAGACACAAAAAAAATTTCTATATAATAACAATAAAAATGGTAAAATAACTGGTAATATGCTAAACTTTTGGAGAACATTTATAAAACTAAATAATTCAGTATTAATTTAAAAAGCAATAGAAAATTATTCTAGAGGAATTTGTCAAAATGATTATAAATTTGATCTGAAAGGACAAACACATATGAATTGTCTGGGGAAAAACAATGCTAAAAATTGACTTTGACCTCTGTAGGACCAGTGTGAAATGTAAAGGATGAGTAACTGAATAGAAAAAACAAGGCTCAACAACTAAACGGAAGAGTATCTGGAAATAAACACTGCTGTCTCCCGCCAAAATACAAAAAAACCCACATATGCGCAAATGTTTCACACAAGTAAGATGAGAATTCGGATAACTGGGAAAGGTAGAGTTTATATATATGAAGAAAACAAAATTGCAACTTAGAGGTAAAGAGTAAGACTTTAAAACGCACACTCCAGATCAAGTGGCTCAAAAACTTAAGTACAAGAAATAAATACATTTCTTTATGAAAACTTTTTTATGATGTTTGAGTCTCTTTAATGAAAAGGTATGTTGTTTGTATTCTGAAAAAATGCTAAAGTAATGACAATAAATTAGGATTTTTATTGTGAAGAAGCGGGGAACATCACACACTGCTAGTGTAAGTACAAATTGAAACCATTTTTTTCTGTAAGCGTCTGGCATTTAGCAAACTTAAAAAATCCATCTTTTAGCCATTTTCATCAGTTTATTCTGAGGAAATAAATAGTATGAAGTGGGAATAATATATGAAGACATTAAATAAATTATTGCCATTGATTGTGAAAATAAACTAGAAACAATCTTAATGATCAACATTAATGGGTTGACTAAATCAAACATTGCTCAATTTACATTATACTCATTGATAATGGTGTAGCTTAGTTGTCTTTTCATGTAAAGATATACATAATATATTTTTAAGTAGGAAACATAGCACTGCCTGTTTACAAACATATATGTGCATAGATAAATTATAATCACGTGTAGTCAGCCTGGAAAGTTTTGGGTTGGGATAGGAAAAAAATGCGCCCAAAGGCAGAAATGAAGCTCAAGGTAGAGCAATCAGGAGATTTTGCTGAACTGAATGGAGATTGAAGAATCAGGAATACACTTTACCAGAGCATCCGTGAATCTGATTATTTATTTTACTCATCACATACTATGAACTTTGTATTTCATGCCTTTCCAAATAAGATGGACCACACTCGGATGGTTACCAGAGTTTAATGAAGACATCTTGAGTCTTTCTGTGACGCGCTCTGACAGGGGCGAGCCCCATGCTGCCCTTGCCCTCATGACACCTCTTCAACTTGTTTCTACAACTCTCTTTGTTGTTTTTATTTGCTGCATGCTTCTGCCTCCTCAAATATAATATGAGCTCTTTGAGGGTAGAGTCATCCTCTAAATAGTCCTTATATCAACAGCCATTAGCACAGCCTTGTATGTATTAGGTGGTCTATACATCAATTGATTACTCCTAGAACACTTTATCTTTTCCCATTTCAAACTCATACTAATAATTTGAGAGCACAAATGACAGAAGATTTGCTTTGATATCTTCTATGATATTGCATTGTGACAAGTGGCTAACTTTGAAGACCACTTAAATGCAAATAAAACTGATCTTTGGAAAAGAAAGCAAGCTAATGACGCAGTCCAGAAGGCAATAGGAATATGTAGGCCACTTGGTCCCTTCTAACCTCACAGGAAGTGTTATGCCCGTGCTTTCAACATAGCCAGACTGACAACATCTGACCAACCAACCATCACACGATAGCAAGAATGTTCCTGTCTTTCAGATACTGTCTCTTAGTGTGTCCAAAATGGGTCACAAAAAGCAATCAATAAAATAAGTTCACAAAAGAGTGACTGAATCTATCAAAATGCTATCAGGGTAGTTGACCATTTTTAAACATTTTTTCAAGAAAGTGATGTTTGTTTTAAATAAGTGAGTGGCACTTATGAATAAGAGCTCAACATTTATATACTCATAGACATAAAGATGGCAACAACAGAAAATAGAGACTGCTAGAAGGAAGATAGAGGGGCAAGGATCAAAAACTAACTATTGGGTATATGCTAGGTGCCTGTATGATGGGATCATTTACACCCCAAACCTCACCGTCACAAAATATTACCAGCTAACAAACCTGCACATGTACCACCTGAATCTAAAATAAAAGTTGAAAAAAATTTAAAAATTAAAAAAATTAAATACATACATGAGTGGGTATTTTATAGATGAAACAACAGAAAATGTACAGCCTTCCTCAAGTGTTTCCATGGTTATTGATGCCCAACTGGTGACTCCATTTAATTGTAAAAGTTCCACTTTTCCCTGAAAAATGTATTTTTAAGTGTGCTAAATGAAGAGTTTGACAGTATTCAGGAACAGTTCAACAGTAACCTATGTTTTTAGTTTTGACAACTAAGTTTTTGTCTAGTCTTTCCTTTGTTAGTTCAGTTAAAAGTATTTACCTCTGTACTCCTGGATTATGCTTAATTCATTTCCTTCAATCAAATCTTCTTAAAGTAAACATGCCAATTACTCATACCTCCACCAAAATTCCTACCTTCCAATCCCATTCGATTTAATTATTTTGATCATCTTACCTAATTCCCTGTAACTTAGAAGATATCACATTTGTGGGAACTGAACATGCACAAAATATCTGAATTATCTTAAATGAGTGAACTTCCCTATTTGTTTTTCTCCTACTCACACACATTATCTAAGAGAGCCAAATGGCTTTCTTACTGTGAGTATGGAGATATAAGTTGATGATAGTGGATCACTTACAGGTATAATATATCCAGAGAGAGGAATATTAGGTAAAGACAAAATTGTTTACAAACAACTTCACAAGAGGTGAGACCTTAGAAACAAGAGATAAAAGGGAACCTTCTTGATCTTCTTTTTTTCTGTCTTCATATTAGTATCTTTCCTTGAAAAGATGAGAGGAGATCCAGGTTAAAAGGCAAAAGCTTCAAAAAAAAAAAGAGAGTGCCAGTTAGAGGTATTTGAAGATGACCACTTAACTGAAGGCATGGATGTCATACTTCAGCACTGTGCACACAGCTCCAGGAACCAAAGAGGGAAGAGTTTAAGTAATCTAGTATGTGACATCATAAACATCCTGAGATTTCTCATGGAGAAAACTCCTTCTAATAATCCAGAAGGAATATCAACTAAACTGGTTCTGATGGGTACTGAAAACTGTACTCAAAACATGTAAGTGGCAAGCAGAGAATGTGTTCCACAACAAATGCCTGGGCTGCCTCCTCTGCAGTTTGTTTGTTTGTTTTGTTTTTAATTAACAGCTTGAGAACAGCTGTTTAATGCATGTTTCATCACAAAACTCTGTTGTTTGTTTCCCTAGAGGGCAAATGAGTAATATTGGAAAAATACCCAAGGAAGAGAAGAGAAGTTTTTTATGTGGTCATTTAATTTCTCACTTTAACAATAGTCATGATCTAATCTTTTCATTTTTCTCTTGCATTAAGCAGCTTCCCAATAAACATCACTCATTTACTAAATGTCACTAAGAAAAACTTTTAATTGCCAATTCAGTAAAGGTACCAAACAATCTTTTAAGAAAATATATCAGGCAGGCTCTTGATGAACAGGTTAGTGTAAAAATCCAACTTATGGAAACTATTGCTACAAAACCCTTTTGAACACATGATAAGAGATGAAGTTGATGAAAATCACTTTATACTCGATGGGTGGCTCTCATTCTCCTGAGCTCAGGCGACCTGCCTGCCTCGGCCCCCGAAACTGCTGGCATTATAGGCGTGAGCCACTGTGACCGGCCTGGTTGCATTCTCTTGATGCATAAGGTGTACGGTTATGAATCATTTTTGTTTAGTCTTCTCATAGTAATATATATGAATGTAAATTATATTGTATTACCGATGTATCAACTTTAAATGATAAATCTATGCCTGGTTTAAAAGATGAAATTAACACGTGCATATGTGCTGTTTTCCAACATTCTATTTTTTTGCCTGCTAAGTTTTGTTAGTTATATTTTGCTACTTATCTTGTGACACATCATAACATACACATTCAATTTTTAACTGTAGAGATATCAACTGGGCTTTAAATGTGTTTAATCGTAAAACCTAAAGAAAACGAAACAGCATGTAAAATAGTTTGTGTCAATGTTAGTTCCAAGAAAAGGAAACAATGTGACTTAAAGGTTTAATGGATTCTTGACTCTTTTCCATTTCAGATTGCCTCTCTCTGCGCCTTCCACCATCCACCTCAGATTTCCTTATTCATATACATGGCAACTTCTATTAGTTTTTTTTAAGGGATACTACTCATGTGAAAATGCCTACATCTTAGTTTTAGCACATACACACATATATATAAATGTAACAAATATTTATATGTACATAAATATATATTTATGTGTGTGTGTATATAGAGAAAGAGAGGATATGAGTTGTAAAGTAAAAAATGCAAACATAGACAATGACAATATTAGGTAGCCATAACTGGAAACACTTTATATGTACAAAAGAGAATCATGACAGGCATAATAAGCTCAGTTATGTTATTTTAAAGGAATCAAAATTTGGAAGGAGGAGGAACAAGACGGCAGAATAGAAGGCTCCCCCAATTGTTCCCACTGCAAGGACACCAATTTAATAACTGCCTACACACAAAAAGCACCTTTATACAAACAAAAATCAGGTGAGCACTCACTGTACCTGGCCTTAACTTTATATTGCTGAAAGAAGCACTGAAGAGATAGAAAAACAATTGTGAATTGCAAATGCACCCTTGCCTCATTCCCCAGCAGCATCAGCATGGTGCAGAGAGCAATTCTGTGCTCTGGGGAGAGGGAGAGCACAGCAATCGTGAGTCATTGAACTCAGCGCTGCTCTGCTGGAGCAGAAAACAAAGCTGGACCAAACTCAGCTGATGCCCATCCATGGAGGGAGCATTTAGACTAGCCCGAGGGCAATTACCAATCCCAGCCGTCTGAACTTGAGTTCCTGCAAGCCTTTCCACCATGGACTAAAGTGCTCTGGGGCCTTAAAAGAAACATGAGAAAAAGAAACCAGGCCACAATGACCACAACTCCTAAATGAGTCCAAGTGCTGACCTGGCCCAGAGCCTGTGGACTATGGGGGGACACAACCTACTGAGACACCAGCCAGAGCAAGTAAGGGGGTGCTGGAACCCCTCCCCTAGCCCCAGGCTGCACAGTTTGTGGCTCCTAAAAAACCCCTTCCCTCCACTTGAGAAGATAAGAAAGAGTGAGGACTTTTTCTTGCATCTTGGAATCAGCTCAGCCACAGCAGGAGAGGGCACCAATCAGAGTCATCAGAAATCGCTACAACTAATCAGTACCACTGTGCCAAAGCTTTGAGAATTTCATCATTGATCTAATCATTGCTCCACCCCCTAGCTCCAGGCCCCAGATTGTGGACATTTCTAGACACTCCTTGGGCCAAAAGGGAACCTGTTATTATGAAGGGAAGAACCCAATCCTGGAAGCATTCATCACCTGCTAACTGAAGGGCCCTTGAGCCCTGAATAACCAGCAGTGATACCCAGGTACCACGTTGAGGACCTTAGGTGAGCCTCTGAGATTACTGGCTCACAGATGAGACTCAGCACATTCCCACATGTGGTGGCTATGGGGTGAAACTCCTTCTGCTTTAAAAAAAAAAAGTGGAGGAAAGAGTAAACGGGACTTCGTCTTGGACTTTAGGTATTAGCAAGGCCTTAGGAGGGTAGAGCACCAAGTGGGCTCTTGGTTTCCTCAATTCTCGGACTTGGCTCTTGGGCAGCATTTCTGGTCCTTCCCTGGGCCAGAGGGGAGCCCACTGTCCTGAAGGATGAGTCCCAAGCCAAGGAGCCTTCCCCACAAGCTGACTGAAGAGCGCTTGGGCCTTGAGGGAACATCAGCAGTAGACTGGCAACACTTCCCATGGGCATGTGCTGGCCGTGGCCATAGGGTGAGGCTCCTCTGCTTTTGAAAGGGAAGGGGAGAGTGGGAAAGACAGTATCTTGTGGTTTGAGTGCCAGCTCAGCTGCAATACAACAGAATATCGGGTAGATTTCTAAGGTTTTTTACTTTTGTCCCTGGCTCCCAGATGTCACCTCTGGACCTTCCTGGGGCCTACGGGACCTTGATACCCCGAAGAGAAAGATACAGGCCTGGCTGGCTTTGTCACCTGCTGATTTTAGAGCTGCAGTGCCCTGAGCAAACATGAGTGGTAGTCAGGAAGTGGTTACAGCAGGCCGTGGCTGAGATTCAGTGTTGTGCTAGCTGCAGGCCTGAACCAGGGCACTTTTAGTGGTGGTTGCCACGGTGGTGCTTGTATAACTCCACTCTTATCTCCAAGTGGCTCAGAACACAGACAAAGATTTCATTTGTTTGGGAGAAAGTAAGGGAAGAGAACAAGAATCTTTGTCTGGTAATCTGTAGAATTCATCCAGATCTTGTTCAAGAATATCAAGGCGGTACCTCAATGAGTCTCAAGAACTACAGAATTACTGGGCTTAGTGTGCCCCCTAAGGTAGACACAGCTTAGATCACAACACACATGTACTTTTGAATATCTTGAATGCCTTCCCAAGTAGGATGTGTACAAAAAGCCCAGATAGTGAAGACTACAATAAATACGTAACTCTTCAATGCCCAGACACTAAACATCTACTATCATCAACACCATTCAAAAAAACATGACCTTACCAAATAAACTAAATAGCCAACAGGGAACAATCCTGGAGAAACAGAGATATGTGACCTTTCAGACAGGGAATTCAAAGTAGCTGTTTTGAGGAAACTCAGGGAAATCCAAGCTAACACAGAGAGGGCATTCAGAAGTCTATCAGATAAATTTAACAAAGAGATTGAAAACATTAAAAAGAATCAAGCAGAAATTCTAGAGCTGGAGAATACAATTGGCATGCAATACACTAGAAAGATCACTCATCATGACCAAGTGGGATTTATCCCTGAGATGCAAGGATGGTTCAACATAGGCAAATTTATCAATGTGATGAATCATATTAACAGATGAAGGATAAAAGCCATATGATCATTTAAATTGATGTTAAAAAAAAGCACTTGATAAAATGCAACATCCCTTCATGATAAAAACCATTAAAAAACTGAAGATAGAAGGAGCATAACTCAACATAATAAAAGCTATATATGACAGACACACAGCTAGTATACTGAATAGGGAAAAACTAAAACCCTTTCCTCTAAGGTCTAGATTATGACAAAGATGTCCACTTTCTCTACTATTATTCAATATAGCACTGGAAGTCTTAGCTGGAGCAATTAGACAAGAGAATGAAATAAAGGGCATCCAAATTGGAATGGAAAAAGTAAAATTATTCTTGTTTGTGGATGATATCACCTTATATTTGGAAAAACCTAAAGACGTTACCAAAACCTCTTGGAACTGATGAACAAATTCAGTAAAGTTGCAGGATACAAAATTAACATTTAAAAGTCAGAAGCATTTCTATCTGCCAACAGTGAACAATATGAAAAAATGTAATCTCATTTATCATAGCCATGAATAACATTAAATACCCAGGTATTAACTTAACCTCAGAAGTGAAAGATCTCTACAATAAAAACTATAAAACACTGATCAAACAAATTGAAGAGGAAACAAAAAAATGGAAAGATATTCCATGTTCATGAATGGGAAAAATAAATATTCTTAAAATGTCCATACTATCTAAAGCAGTATACAGATTCAATGCAGTCCCTATCAATATACCAATGACATTTTTTACAGAAATGGAAAAAACAATCCTAAAATTTATAGCAACCCATAAAAGACCCTGAATAGACAAAACTATCTTTAGCAAAAACCACAACTAGAGGAATCACATTAATTGACTTCAAATTATACTACAGAGCTATATAAACAAAATAGCAGGATACTGGCACAAAAACAGACACACAGACCAATGGAACAGCATAAAGACCCAAAAAGGAAATCCACACACCTACAGTTAACTCATTTGCAATCAAAGATGCCAAGTACATACATTGGGGAAAAGACAGTCTCTTCTATAAATGTGCTGGGAAAACTGGATATTCACATGCAGAAGAATGAAACTACACCCCTATCTCTTGCCATATACAAAAATCAAATCAAAATGGATTAAAGAGTTAAATCTAATACCTCAAATTATGAAAGTACTACAAGAAAACATTGGGAAAAGTCTCCAGGACATTGGTCTGGGCAAAGATTTCTTAAGTAATACCCTACAAGCACAGACAACAGAGCAAAAATGGACAAATGGGATCCCATCAAGTTAAAAAGCTTCTGCACAGCAAAGGAAACTTATCAATCAATGAAATGAATAGACAATCCACAGAATGGGAGAAAATATTTGCAAACTACCCATCTGACAAGGGATTAATAACCAGAGTATATAAGGAGCTCAAACAACTGTCTAGAAATCTAGTAATGTAATTATAAAATGGGCAAAAGATCTGAATGCACATTTCTCCAAAGAAGACATACGAATTGCAAACACGCATAGAAAAGGGTGCTCAACATCATTGATTATAAAAGAAATGCAAATCAAAACTATAATGAGATATAATCTCACCCCAGTTAAAATGGCTTACATCCAAAAGGCAACAACAAATGCTGGCAAGGATGTGGAGAAAAGAAAACCATTGTACACTCTTGGTGAGAATGTAAATTAGTATAACCACTATGAAGAATGGTTTGGAGGTTCCTCAAGAAACTAAAAACAGAGCCATCATATGATCCATCGATCCCCCGGGGATATACCCAAAATAAAGGAAAAGAGATCAAAGAGATATCTGCACTCGTATGTTTGTTGTGGCACTTTTCACAATAGTCGAGATTTTGAAGCAACCTAAGTATCCATCAACAGATAAATGGATAAAGAAAATGTGGTACTTATACACAATGGAGTACTATTCAGCTATAAAAAATAATGAGATCTTTTAATTTGCAACAACATGGATGGAACTGGAGGTCACTATGTTAAGTGAAGTAAGCCAGGCACAGAAAGACACACATTGCATGTTCTCACTTATTTGTGAGATCTAAAAGGAGAATTAATTTATTTCGGGAAAGGAAGAACGGTTTCTTGTTCTGTTTAATAAACCTTGACATTGAGATGCACTCAAGAGCCTGGGGTAGAAGTGGAGAAATGACCCACATTACCTCTGCCCTTCTAAAGCCTAGAGCAGGCAGATCAGGTCACTCCAGGTGAAAAGAACACTCAGGAGTGGATGGAGCAGGCAATGTGCCCTTTAAGAGGAGCAGGGCAGAAGTCTTCAAGGAATGATAAAATCATTGCCCAAAAGTTATGAATTTCCTGTACAATATAAAATGTTCTCAGCCACATAACAAAACTCAAGAGAATTCTACAAAGTTTGAAATATGCAGTCCATATCCCTAAGCCATATTGAATTAAACCAAGAAAACAACTTAACAAAAATATATGCATTAATGACCACAGTTATGATCAATAATTACAGCAATAGGCCAGATGCCGTGGCTCATGCCTGTAATCCTAACACTTTGGGAGGCCGAGATGGGTGGATCACTTCAGACCTGGAGTTCAAGACAAGCCTGGCCAACATAGGAAAACTCCATCTCTACTAAAAATACAAGAAATTAGCTGGGTGTGGTGGCCCACGCCTGTAATCCCAGCTAGTCTGAAAACTGATGGATGAGAATCCCTTGAAGCCAGGATGTGGAGGTTGTCTCCAGCCTAGGGGACAGAGCAAGACCCTGTTAAAAAAAAATTACAGCAATGTCCAGATGCACAGTTTCCTTGTACAGTCTCTCTAGTTCAAGAAAATTGTATTAGCGTTCATGTATACTGATTTGAAACTTGTATTTAAATTCATTTCACTTATGTTTTACAAATGATTTTTTTTATTTTTATTTTGAGACAGAGTCTCACTCTGTTGCCCAGGCTGAAATGTGGTGGTATGATTCATGGCTCACTACACCCTCAACCTTCTGGGCTCAACTGATCCTCCCATATCAGCCTCACAAGTAGCTTGGACTATAGATACCTGCTACCATGCCAGGATAATTGTTTTATTTTTTGTAGAGATGGGGTCTCAGTATGTTGCCCAGGCTAGTCTTGAACTCCTGGACTTAAGCAATACTTCCACCTCCGCCTCCCAGAGTGTTGGGATTACAGGTGTGATCCACCATGCCTGGCCCCAAATGATTTTGATTTCCCTTTTCCCCTATGTAAGTTTACTTCATTGTCCTGATTCTTCTATGTAATTTTTATTCCACTAGCCGTTCCCTAATTTTTCTTTTCAATATTAAATGATGTTTTCAAAATATAAATTTCACTGTTAAGTATTTTGAACAAATCGTATTTATGACTTCATGGTAGACATTTACTTAATACAATTTTTCCTATTTCCCTCCCACCTCCATAAGGCAGGGAGTGATCTTTCACTTGGTGAGGACCCTGCAAGACCAATTCTCATTTGTTTTAAAAACACATTTGTCTCTTGGTATTCATTGTGGGGTTTGGTTCCAGGACACCTTGTAGGTACCAAAACCTGAGGATGCTTAAGTGCCTTATATAAAATGCTGCGGTATGTGCATGTAAGCTATGCACATCCTCTCACATACTTTAAATCATCTTTAGATTACTTATTATACCTCATGCAAGGTCTATATATCACTTCATTGGAATTGATTCAACATAGTGCTCAGAACATGGCAAGTTTTGCTTTTTGGAACTTCAGAACATTTTTTTCTGAATATTTTTTATCTGCAGTTGATTGAATCCACACATGCAGAACTCGGATAAAGAGGGCTGACTGTATTTACTAAAAGCTTTTGTAATTCATCTCTGCTTACTCTACCACTGAAGTAATTCATTCTCAACATATCTTTTGTGAAACTCGTTAATCAGTATCTGTGGAATGGGAATAACCATAGCTATTAGAATGTGTACCTTCTACACCCGGTAGCTCTGTCACCATCATGGAGCTGTTTGTTTACTGCAGTTACATGTCTCCTGTCACACTGGAATGCTCATTGTTCTTTTTCCTTCCTTTACCGAAATATAATTGCAAAATTAAATAAATATGTTTTGAAACAAGCCTAAATTGAACAAATTATTCTGAAAAACAAAATAAAAGATAAGTTTTATAAAAATTGAGTAAAATGTGGATGGTAACAACATTTTTTAAAATTATCAAACAGGCCAGGCATGGTGGCTCATGCCTGTCATCCCAACACTTTGGAAGGCCAAAGTGGGCGGATCACCTGAGGTCAGGAGTTTGAGACCAGCCTGGCCAAAATGGTGAAACCCAATCTCTACTAAAAATACAAAAAATTAGCCAGGCATTGTGGCAGGCACCTGTAATCCCAGCTAGTGAGGGGGTGAGGCAGGAGAATCGCTTGAACCCGGGAGGTGGAGGTTGCAGTGAGCCGAGATTGTACCATTGCATTCCAGCCTGGGCAACAAGAGTGAAACTCTCAAAAAAAAATTTTTTTTAAAATTATCATACAAATCTATTATAATAGGAACTCTGAATGATTTTTAAACATTTTTGAATTTACAGGTCACATTTTAAAACTGTAAATCATTTGACTATTTATTTTCATGCATAAGAGCTAATGAAAATTTTCTGTGAAAGGAAACCGACTCTAAATAAAATGTATGATTATTTTTCACACACACACACACACACACACACACACACACACACACACACTGCCCTGTGGAAATATTTTGAAGCACATTTAAAATGTTATTTCATAAAAATAAAATTTAGAAATAAGGAGGACTTAGAACTAATAAAATAAATTATACACTTCCCCTATCAAAAATGAGCTAAAATTATTCTCAAATGAACACACATGCTTTTCAAAGTTTTTTTAAATCAACAATGCAAATATGTTGGAAACAGACAACTAAAAATTTTTTTTAAGTCAAACAAAGACAATTTGGTAAATCTGAAAGCAAGAGGCTGAAATACAGCTTTAGACAGGGTATTTTCTCCCAGCCAAAACTGAAACTTAAAATCATGTTTTAAAATAAGAAACACTGAAAGAGTCAAAGCATCAACCAAGAACTGACCAGGCCCATTATGTTACATGTTTTTAGAGAAGTTGTCTTCTTGGAATAAGTTGAAAAATTATTGTGAATTATTTGGAAATACTATTTCTCAAGATTTTGCCTAGTTCCATGGGATAACCCTATGTGAAAATAAATTTCTCTCATAGTCTTCCAAACAAACAGCGCCACTTAAAAATAATTTATTCAAGTGAACTTCATGCAATGTAATTAACCATTTTAAAGTGAACAATTCAGTGGTATCTTATACATTCACAATATTGGGCAACAACAACCTCTAGTTCCAAAACATTTCCACGATCCCAAGCTGTAAAACCCCTTACTCATTAAGCAGTAATAAGTGTTGGTGAGAATATGGAGAAATTAAGACTCATGCATTGCTGGTGGAAATGCAAAATGTTTCAGCCATAGTTGAAAACAGTTTGACAGCTTTTCAAAACACAAAGTATAGAATTATTATATTACCCTGCTATTCCACTCCTAGTTATATATGTAAAAAGTACCACTTTTAAATTAATACTCTGATATTCAACGCAATAGATATACATTTATAGAAATTATACATTAACAACAGTTAGCAATTGTAACAGTAAGTTAAAATATGTACATGAATTATTTTCAGAGTAAATGCAAGTTAACATTTTGCAGTCACCAGATAGAAAGAACTACTTATATAAAATTGATTTTTAAAAAATCTGAGCAGCAACTGACTCGTCAGCAAATTTGTTGGAAGCTGAAAGACAGAAACTTTTCAACTATTGACAAGGAGTGTAACTCAAGAAGTTGATATACAGCAAGGTGTCAAGAGAAATATAATTACAGGTGTGCAAGAAAGAATAAATCCATCAAATAAAGAAGAAAAGAAACTATGGAGAGCACAAACCTTTGTCATCTGTGTATACCATATAGATGGTCTGTATATGTGTATGCTATTTCCAAAGAGCAAATGTCTTCAAGTTACAAGCACAAAAGAACTTTGAGGTTTCATTCAAATGCCTGTTCAAGCTATGAGGTTTTTTCAACCTTCCTAGACTTTCAAATGACCTCCCAGCACATTCAGTCCAGAATCAGTCGTTACTAACATGCCTAGATCCTACTCACAGCTAGAGCTCTCAGTCAAGGTAAAGCCTCGGGGCCTCACCTGTTCTGCCTGTATCAGGTCAAGGAGTCGGCCCCGAGAGTGGGGAGACAGGACCCAGCATCCTCTGCCTCCCCCAGCTCATGCATTCTTCAGTTTAGCCCACTGTACCCTCAAAGTTGGAGGTGGGAGGGAGGGAAGTTGTCTCCATGTCCTCACCAACACTTGTTATCTTTTGTCTTTTTGATAATAGCCATTCTAACAAGAGTGAAGTGATATCTCATTGTGGTTTTGTTTTGTGTTTCCCTGATGACTAGTGATAATAAGCATTATTTTTCATATACCTGTTGGCCATCTGTCTGTCTTCTTTCCAGAAATGTCTATTCAGGTCTTATGCCCATTTTTAAATTGTGTTATTTATTTTCTTACTATTGAGGTTTCTGAGTTCCTGATATATTTTTTCTATTAATCCCTTATCAGATAATATAGTTTACAAATACTTTATCTAATTCTGTGGGTTGTCCCTTCACTCTATTGATTGTTTCCTTTACTGTGCAGAACCTTTTTAGTTTTGCATAATCTGATTTGTTTATTTGTGCTTTTGTTCCATGGGAGTTTGAGTTTATATCCAGAAAAACATTGCCCAAACCAATGTCACAGAGCTTTTCCCTATATTTTCTTCTAGTAGCTTTACAGTTTCGGGTCTTATATCCAAGTTTAATTCATTTTGAATTGATTTTTGTATATGGTGTGAGAAAAGGGTTCAATTTTGTTCTTTTGCATGTGGATATCTAATTTTTCCAGTATCATTTGTTGAAGGAACAGTCCTTTCCTCAGGTGTGTTTTTGGCACATTTGTCAAAAATCAATTGACTATAAATGTGTGGGTTTATTTCTCGGCTCTAAATCCTGTTCCACTGGTCAATGTGCCTTTTGTAATGCGTGTACCATGCTGTTTTGAGTGTCATAGCTTTGTAATATATTTAGAAAAAAAGTAGTGTGATGCTCCCCTTTTGTTCTTACTGTTCATATAAATCATTTTTTTCTCCAGTTCTGTGAAAAATGACATTGAAATGTGACAAGAATGTCATTAAATGTATAGACCCCTTTGGGTAATATGAAAAATTTAACATATTAATTCTTCCAATCCATGAATATGGGATAGTTCTCATTTATTGGTGTCTTCTTTAATTTCCTACATCAATGTTTTATGTTTTTCAGTGTAGATATTTAACCCTTTTGGTTAAATTTATCCCAAAGTTTTTGTTTGTTTGATTTGACACTATTATAAATAAAATTGTTTTTAAATTTCTTTTTCAGGTAGTTTGATGTTAGTGCATAGAAAAATTATTGATGTATGTTGATTTTGATTTCTGCAACTTTATGTGAAGGCTTTCAATTGTTCTAACAGAGCTTTTGTGGAGATTTTAAGTTTTACATGTTTAGGATCATATTGTCAAGAGGAAAGCAGAATCTGTAAATCTGAAGCCACTTGATTTTTCACAAGTTGGACACAGGCAATTGGAAAATGATACACCTGCAACTAGGTCTGTAATTATAATCCAATTGGTTTGACAAAGTCTCACATCCCTGCATACCCCAAACATTTCCTCTCCCTAAGTCCCTCCTGGTGGTAAGGTACACATCGTTCCACTGAGTTCGTGCATTTCACCATCCTCACTCACCTGGTCTGCCTGCCACCAGGTTTGCACTTCTCCAATCTATTGTCACCAAAGTAATATTTCTGAAATGCAAGACTGATCATTTTCTACTGTTTGTAAACATCTGGGTCACAGAAAGCAAGGAATTATTCCACAAAATAAAACAGGAAAGAAGGCACGATTAGAATATTTGCCACTCCTGCTTGGTCAATTGTCTGACCTTTGCTCTTGCTGTGCCTTTTCCCAGGCATAATCACATCCCTGACAAAGTCCCTCCCCCTTCCCCAGCCATGTGTAGTTATCTGAGGGGAACAGCTAGGCACCTTTAACACTGAGCTCCTGGGGCTGCACTCAGCATCTTCTGCTTGATTGAATGTGCACAGCACAGGAAGAAGCGAGGTGCCAGAATGAGCTATACCCTTTCCACATGTGCATCAAAGCATTTCATACACTTTATAGCACCTATTTGCACACAGAATTACTAGTTCAAATTTCTTGGGGAAAGCAGTATGTAGTATTCACCTTTGAATTTTCTTTAGTGAATATTTTAGATTTAATATAGCATAACAAATATTTACTGGATAAATGAACAATTGGATATTTGATACTCTACCTCTTCTTATTTGTCTAATAAATTACATACTTCAAAACTCAGCTCAGATGTCACTTTGTGCTGGAAATCTTCTCTAAAGCTTCTTTTCACCCCAGGCTAATATGTTTTCCACAGTCTCTTAACGGAATTCGGGATTCAAAACCCAGCACTTGATGAAGACTGTTAACCTCAATAACAGACCTTAATCTTTCAGGAACCAACCATGTGGGCCAAGACAGCCTCCAATAAGGGTGGACAAATGGCTGGATTGTCTCAGCAGTGAATAACTACATTGCAATCAGCAAGTTTTCTAAGATATTATATCATGTGTACTGCTCAAAAAAGGTGGGAGGGAGGGGACATATTTTAATTATTTATTTAAAATTAATTTCAATTTTACAGAAAATTAGCATAAATAAAAGTAGTACAAAGAACATCTATATGAACCCTTTTTCTTCCTCATTTCTCCCTCTCTCTCAATTTTATGCCTTATAACCTTTATCCTCTAAGTAGTATCATTATGTATTCCCAGAATATGAAAATATCCTATAGAATTAGAAAGTAGTTATGAACTTCAGTAACTGTAACATCAATATAATATGACTGAATAATGCATTTTGAAGTGAGACGGAGTGTAAATTGAAAAGTTTCTAGTACAGGAAAGCGATTTCTAAAAGAGGTGTGAAAATGAGATCAAACACCATGGCAGTCTTGGAGTCTGGGAAATAACACTGGTATAACATTCTCATATGTGAAGTGCAGAGAGAAGGAAAAGTAAATTACTCTCAAAATGGTCTACTCCATAGCTTTTTGAAAGGCAGGTTCCACTGTTAACATTTTCTTCAGAGCCCCCATGACATCCTTATTCCTAAGACTATAGATTAAAGGGTTCACCACTGGAGTGAGGATGGTATAGAAGACAGATACCATCATGTCCTTCTCAGGGGTGTGGTAGGAGCTGGGGAGCATGTAGGTGTAGATGGCAGCCCCATAGAAGAGGATGACCACAGTCAGGTGGGAGGAGCAGGTGGCAAAGGCCTTTTTCCGGCCCTCTGCTGAGTTCATCCCGTGGATGGTGAGGAGGATGAGTAAATAGGAGCTTGAAATGATCACCACAGGGATGAGGAGCATGAGGACACAGCACAAGTACATGAAAATCTCATAGAGTGAGGTGTCTGAGCAGGAGAGATTCAATACAGCAGGAACTTCACAGAAGAAATGATGAATCTCCCGGGATCCACGGAAGGGGAAGGTCATGGTGATGGGAGTGAATGTGAAGCCATCCACTGAGCCCAGGAACCAGCAGCCTGATGACAGGAAGAGACACACCCTATGGTTCATGAGGACAGGGTAACGGAGAGGATGGCAGATGGCCACGTAGCGGTCATAGGCCATGGTGGCTAGAAGGAAAAATTCTGAACCTGCTAGTGTCACGTAGAAGAACATCTGCATCCCACACTCAGGGGCTGAGATCTTATTCACACCCATGACCTGGTCCAGGAGCATCTTGGGCACAGTGACAGAAATGTACGCCATGTCCATGAGAGACAATTGACTGATGAAAAAGTACATGGGGGTGTGGAGGTGGGCGTCACAGTGTATCAGAAGGATCAGGACAGCATTTCCAGACAACGCCATCAGGAAAACCACAAAAATGACCACACAAAGTAGTGCTGGATGTTTGGATTGTCTGAAGAGTCCCAACAGGATGAAATCCGACCATCCAGTGTGGTTGGCCATCCAGGTGATATTGGCCATTGGATGTTTGGATTGTCTGAAGAGTCCCATCAGGATGAAATCCGACCATCCAGTGTGGCTGGCCATCCAGGTGATGTTGTCCATGAGGTTTCACCTAGGCCACAAAGGAAAGCTTGGGGTTAAAGTAATTTGAGCCTCTGAAACAAATTGTGTGTGTGTGTGTGTGTTCTAACCAAAGAAAGGCCCATGGGCCTGTAGATTTGGGTGTTATAAATTATCTGCAATTCAAAAAATTTACCAGGAACTAAGAATTCACAACTGTGGATCAAAAGGGTGATTTGTAGTGAAGTTGCCACAGTTCTGAGTCATGAGATTTCCCGATGAGAGTGTCTGTTATAAACAAGTCCTGGAAACTGGCAGTGTCACTGCCTTATGCAGACATGAATAGTGAATTATTGAAAACAAAGGAGAATTTTGTCCCCCTGTTTTTAGAGTTGTTTAGAGAAGTCTAAAGTGAATTACATTCTCTGGTTTAAGGATCCATCTGGAATCTTAAAAACTCCCAAAAGTGTATTCCATATAGGAATGATTTAGAACATGACTAAAATATCACTTGTGGAAAATCCATACCAAACATTTGCACCCTTCTACCCACAGTATTGGACAATGCTGTGAGGCTCTGTGGTTTCGTGGAGCAAAACCCCACACATCCCCATGAGCAAGCCAGGGTCCTCCTACACACCAGACTCCTCAGAAACCAGAGTCGCATGGGGTGAGGAGCCCAGGGACCGTGGCTGGACTGCAGGGTGGACCCAGCTTCCCCTCTACCTGCTATTCCTCTGTTTACTGCACATAAAAATAGATGGTAAGAAAAGGTTTGACCTCAGGGTTGATGAAGATTAAATGCAGAAAAGTAATGAAAGTGCTTAGAATATTACCAGTTACAAATGAACAAATACATACACTGTCAAAGAGTTAATATCTACACAAATTATTCTGCAGACTGTATTACTATAATCATCTTATGATATGAGCTTCATTACTTCAGTTTGCTGATTTTATCATTTAGTCAGACTTGTAAGAATTTGGATTTGATAATTTCTCTAGTCCCAGACAACTTGTATGTATACAGTTTACATTTATTTTATATAAATTTATAGATATGCATTTTTATATATGTGCAGATTTACAAATATAAGAATACATTGTATATGCATATTTACAAATAGAAATGCATATATTAATGTAAGGTATGTCTCTTATTTTCATGTTGAGCAGAGATTTATGCAGAATCCACCTTCTTTGTGACTAGTGCATGCTTCTCCAAGCTTAACTCCTTAAAGCTCCTGTCATTCGCATTAAATCTCAGGGGGGCATAACTGGGATTTAGAAACTCCCTGCTATTTACCAGGTAAGGCTTTTGGTGTTTTTGCAAATATCTGCTTTATTGCCTGCTACAGTGAATTTTTTCACGGAAACTGTGAGGCAGAAAAGAAAATAAAACACTAAGATGTCTCTCACTTCAATTAAATTCCTTCCTCTATCTTGCTACTCACAGCCTGACTCTGTGTTAGCTAGTGCAGGAATCAAAGACAAATTATATTTGATTAAGCTTGAGGAGGTCACAGTCAGTCTATTCAGGAAAAAACATATAAACATGATTTAAAGTACAACTTCAGATTAGAATAGCTATGAGCTACATTAACAAGGCTAATAGAAGCAAAATACATTTAACCTTTCTGAAGAGAATCACTGATAACTCCTACATTTTCTCTTAAGAAGATTAAAACTTTGCAACTTTTCGATTTCTGACATGTTGTTAAATTTTAGTATTTATCAATAGGAAGAAAATATAGGGTCCTTTTTCAGGGAAGACTTTAGCAGTGGTTATCATACAGTCATATTTCAGGAAGAATTTCCAAGTTTCAAATACATTTTGAATTCTTTTAATAATTCTAATTAGACTTATTAATATTTTCAAGTTTTGGAGAATAATAATTAGATGCGGAGACTGGGCAGCTGTTTGCTAAGTGAATGGAGGGAGACCAAGAGGGCAGTGCGGGATGGGAGGTGGATGCTGGGCAAATCTCTGCTGCACTTTTGTAAATGGAAGTCCCTGTCATTAAGCCACGCTGAACAGCTGACCTGGGACACCAGATCAGTGAGGGAAAACTGTGACTGCAGCATGCAGCACAACTGGACTTTTTCTTTCTTTTATTTTTCTTGATCACATTGCTTGAGTTTCCAAACAGCACAATGCATGTTTAACCCAGGGAATAATTAATAGTGGTGGTAGGGCAATATTGAGCATTTATGTGAAGCTTACAGTATCCTAGGAATTGTTCTTAATGCCAGTTTACCACATTTAATTTTCCTCAAGAACCTATGAGGTATATAATCTAATTTCACCATTTACAGATTTAAAAGTTCAAGTTCTGGGGTATCTATCTAACATCACACAGCTAACCCCATGGAGTAAGTACATCGGTGCAGGTGCGGGACCCAGAGCATGTCACTTACCTCAGTTCTCTTGGGGACACAGTCCTGCTTCCGTAGACTAAAATTTGGGTTTTAGATAACTCACTATTGGTTTCACCAGGGAAACATAAATATGATTGAAACATTTGTTGCTAGTGTTTTCTAACTCTAAGACCTAATTTCCATTCAAAGAAAAATTAGTTGTTTTTCCTCTGCAAAATTTTCATCCCACTAAAACAAATGTATCATTCAATAACAGAGGAAGAATATATATGATTTTGTCCATAAATACTTTGGAAATGAAAAACCCGTTTACTAATATGTTGCAGTAAATAAGTATTATATAAAATGAGACTCAAAGGAAAAATAAAACAGATTGGCTTTTCTCCATAAAAATAGATGATAGAGGGAAATGAGGAAATACAGTCAAGAACTAATAGAAATGTTTCAAAAGCAGAACAAGTCAAGAACCGTGACCATCTTTTGTTCCTGCAATACTGTCTACCTATCTGGTGTAACTCACCATCAGATGATGTCTTGACCCTCATTTGGAGGGGCTCATGGTGTGTGGCTGGCTTAAGTGTGCAAAGAAAAACAAAAGTGACATCATCCCTGGCTTCACTGTGTCCATTAGGGGTGTAGATAAAAGTTTTCTGTTAATAAGTCCTCTCTGGGGTTTTGAAGACGAATGCAAATAAAGGAGCTAAAGAAGCTAATAGATATCTCTGTTGCCCTTTTCTGATTTTCTTCTCATTTTTTTTTAAGCGACAGAATCTTACTATGTTGCCCAGGCTGGAGTGCAGTAGATTTTTACAGGTGAGATCACAGTGCACAAAGGCCTCGACCTCCTGGCCTCAAGTGAACCCCCTCCACATCACTCTCCTGAATAGCTGGTACTACAGACACACACCACTGTGCCCAGCTGTTTTGTTGTTGTTATTTAATCTTCTTTTATTGTTAAACTGAAAATCTCAACAAATATTAACAATAATCTCAAAGTTAGCCATTACTAATGAATTTTTACCTATGATATATGAGTTAGTTATATATGGCCTTTTGTGTTTTACACAATATTTTCATGTGTATGTGCCTCCTCCTTTAAACTTTAGGAAATTTTTATAAAATATTGCTATTTGTGTTCCAATCTTTCACAAATATAGGCTTTGAAACTCAGAGTTCAGTTGATGTGTCAAAGAGAGTATCGCTGATCAGTAATGAACTCCATACTAAAATTGAGGTTGTCTTTTTCACATCTTCATTGCTATCACTCTTCATTAGCTTGTTATGTTCTTTCTTCTGTTATTCACCTGCAAGCTCTGTTACTTTAGTGATGCATTTAATTTTAAAGTTTGTTTTTATTTTAAATATTGATATGACTAAAAAATCTAAAATCACAGTCTAGTACAAATAAAATTTAAAAATCAACCATAATGTAATAGTTCAGATAGAAACAAAACTTTAAAATTCATGTCTTGACTTCATACTATGAATATTTATGAAGTGTACACCATGTAGCAGACAGTTGGAATAAAATAGGTAACTAGGTGGAAGCAACTCCACCCTCTTGGATCTTGCAGACAAGTATTTCTGAACCGTTTTCTGTGCGTGTGTTCTAGAATGATGTTGATCATGTTACCATGTCACGGAAGTCTTTTCATGAAAACGTTTGTCCAGATGGTGTCTGTCTTCTGTTTGTTGGGCCCACACTTTAGGGCTGGTGTCTCCGCTGACTTCTAGGGCTTCAGCCCGCAGAGAGCTTGTCCTGACTCCTGTGCTACCTGGTTTCCTGTAAGGCTATGAGAGGGCAGGCCCTGGTGGAACACTGGAGAGCAGGAGAAAGAAGGAAACTGTGTCTTATTTCCTGCTTCTGGTGATGATCTGTGGCGGCAGCAGCAGCAACTGCAGGCAGCAGGGGTCCTGAGGGAGTTGTGGGCTTACAGTCAGTTTCAGCTGCATTTGTGGGGATGCAGGGCATCTAAGTTGCCGCATATCAGCATGGGAAAGTCACACAAGCAGCCCTGGGCGTGCGGTCTCCATCAGCTCAGCACTGAGGAGCATATGAGGCGCCACTGGTGACAACTCCTGGTCTGTGAGTGATAACACTCGGCTCCTTGCTGCATCAGCCTTCCCTCCAGCCCTTTGTGCCACCCTGTAACCACTTTTGTACATTAAATCTATTCTATTTAAAATAGGTTAAGTGTATATATGTGACTAGACATTGATATCCTATCAAATTAATTATACCACAATTAAAATCCAAATAGTGGTTATTTAGGTTGTGTTCAAATTTCTAAGTGATAAATTGTTTGACATTTTTAATAGCTTATGTACAAAGGATTCTCTTTTTATTGTATATATTTAAGGTATGCAACATATTTTTATATACATAGTGAAATTATTACTATTACTACAGTCAAGAAAATAAGCATGTCCATCTTTACTTTGTGTGTGTGTGTGTGTGTGTGTGTCTACATGTGCTAAGAGCACCTGAAACCTACTCTCTTGGCTACTTCCCAGTGTACAATACAATATTATTAGCTATAGTCATCAAGCTATACATTAGATCTCTAGACTTATTTATCCTACACAACTGCAACTTTTAACTCTTTGACCAACATTTCCGTATACTCTCCCCCGCCACCTTTCCCAGATAGCATTCTCTAAGTGTGTTTTTTCCTAAAGTGATTTGCAAGAAGATACAAAGTTTTCAAATTTCTTAATATCCATAAACTAAATTCCCTGTCCAAAAATGTTTTCAACTTGTGTTACAGCATCACAGCAATAAACTTTACATGTACCAGGACTGAATTCTATGCACTTTTCCGTCTTAGTCAATTTGATAGGTGCATCATTGTTCAATGTGCCTTTTTGATTACTAATGTTTACATGACTTTTGATGTGTTTAACTGTTGCTTTGTGAAATATCTGTCAAATCCTGTGCGCATTTTTTCTATTTCCACATGTGTATGTGCATATATATTTATATTTCATGTGTATATATTAATAATTTTTTCTACTTTATTAAATTTTATTGTATTTTAAGTCCTGGGATATATGTGCAGGATGTGTGGGTTTGTTGCATAGGCAAAAGTGTGCCATGGTGGTTTGCTGCACCCATCAACCCATCATCTAGGTTTTAACTCCCGCATGCATTAGGTATTTGTCCTAATGCTTTCCCTCCTCTTTCCCCCAACCCCCTACCTGGTTTTTATTTCTGTAGCTTATAAACAAATCTTGATGTTACTGAAGATGTGTTATCTTGTGTCATTATTTTATTTGCTTTTACAGTATTAAGCATTCCAGGCTGGGCACAGTGGCTTATATCTATAATCTTACTATTTGGGGAGGCTGAGGTGGGAGAATCACTTGAGTCCAGGAATTTGAGACCAGGCTGGGCAACATAACAAGACCCCATCTCTACAAAAAAAATTTAAAAATGTGTTGGGTGTGGTGGCGCATACTTGCAGTCCTTGCTACTCAGGAGACTGAGCTGAGGAGTTCTAGGCTGCCATGAGCTATAATCTCACCACTGCACTCCAGGCTGAGTGACAGAGCCAGACCCCATGTCAAAAAAAAATGCATTAAGCATTCTTTATGCTTTATTTTCCATCGTAAGCTACTTAAATCTTGGCTTTGTTTTTAAAAAATCACAATTTTGTGCTTTAATTCCATGTTATTATTGATAACTTATTTATAACTAAAAATAATATTTAACTTGTTTGGATTATTTTCTTTATTCTGGACCTTTCTGAGAATTTGTTTGGTATAAATGGGCTTAGGCAGAATTGCTGACTTCTAATTGATATGAAAATATAAATTTCCTAGACACCAGCAGATTGCTCTTCAAGATATCAACACCACGAAACCCTGTCTCTACTAAAAATACAAAAATTAGCTGGGCATGGTAGCATGAACCTGTAATCCTCGCTACTTGGGAAGCTGAGGCAGGAGAATCGCTTGAACCCAGAGGGCGGAGGTTGCAGTGAGCTAAGATTGTGCCACTGCACTCCAGCCTGGATGACAGAGTGAGACTTTCTCAAAATAAAAAAAAAAAAAAGAAAGATACCAACATCAGATCATGTTTTCAAATGTAGTTCCAAGCGTTCTTATTCATTCACATCTTTTGCACCATTTAGCATTATTCAGCTCCTGAAATGTTGCTAATTTATTGGATCTAAAGTAATATTTTATTTTGTTTAATTGCCCTTTCTCTGATTACAAATTAAACTGGGCATCTTAAGTAATTCTCTGATTAAGTAATTAATTCTCTGATTAAGTAATTATCTGATTACTAATTAAAATGGGCATCCTAAGATGTGTAGGAATACATTGAATATTTTAGGTTTTATTGGCTTATTTGTCTCTGAGATGCAAATTATCTTCTTTCAATTTGTATTAGTATGTTGTTTGCCCATGATGTCATTCACTAGATAAATATTATTAATTTTTATGTAATTAAATATATTTCATTAATCTTTTGCTGTTGAAGTTATGTGTCCCTTCCACTTTATGAGAAAGAGATTATTTTCTATTACGTTCAAGTAACTCTATAGCATTACGTTATGTATTTAAGTCTTAATCTGAAGTCTAGTTTCTATATATTTTTAAATAGAAATATAATTTTTTTCTTTAGTTGTTGAGCAAGTTTTTCCTACATCGAGTAATAGCATGTTTTGTTCTTTCAATATAAAATTTCTCCTTTATTAGATACTGTTTCATATATTGTAAGTTGACTTTTGAGAGCAATAGTGTCCCAACTGTTTCTCTATATTTGATTATAGAGATGTGTATA
Organism: Homo sapiens; assembly: GCF_000001405.40. Taxonomy (NCBI): domain Eukaryota; kingdom Metazoa; phylum Chordata; class Mammalia; order Primates; family Hominidae; genus Homo; species Homo sapiens. The sequence continues at coordinate 2,428 of NT_187646.1, read as the reverse complement.
TTACGATGTATCAGGATGATGTTATAAATATGACTTTATGTTATATAGCAATAGGTATTAGGAAAACTACTCATCTTTGTTCTTTACTTTTCAACATTTACTAAGTTATTTTGGACATTTATTATCTCTTAGTTAATTTATAATAAGGAATAATGTAGTAAGCTGTATTAGGTCTTTAAAATAAATATTTAGAAATTTGTATTGAGTGGAATTTACAAGGTTATATTGTGATCCCATCCTTGAATACAGAATGCCTACTTTTTCCAATATTCTAGTAAGTCTTTTATTACACTTTTAAATTGTATCTATTGAGGCAGATTTTTGCATTCTATGTTATATTAATTTTTATATATTATACACTTGTTTTTGTTATCAAGTACTCTATTATATGTTTCTCAAATCATTATCGCTGGCATAGAAAAAATGTTACATAATTTTATAGACTGGTCTTGATAAACTATCTTCTTGGTTTAATAGAGTATCTGTTAATTTAGTGTTTTTCTCTAAAAGACATTCATCAAAATTTTAAGCAATTGTGGTCATAGTGATCATTCCCATCTTAATTCTAATTGTAAAATAAATGTATCAATCTTTATGTAAACTTTGGTACCTTAAGTACATGCATGCACTGCATAAGAACATTTCTGTCCAGAATGGACCACATGTACGAAGTGGCCCCATAAGAATATAATGGAGCTGCCCTACACAGGTATACACATCATTTTATGTCATTTATACCATATTTTTCTTGTACCTTTTCTATGTTTAGGTATGTGTGTGTATATATATATATATATATATATATATATTTACAGTGGTTTTATAATTATGTACAATATTCAGTATAGGAACATTCTGCACAGGTTTGTAGCCTAGGAATACTAGGCCATACCATATAGCCTAGATGTGTAGTAGGCTATGTCATCTAGGTGTGTGTAAGTACATTCTATGATGCTCACACAATGACTTAATTATCTAACAATGCATTTCTCAAATATATCCCATTGTTAAGCATCACCGGACTTTATTTCCATTCTTTGTCTAGTGTTCTATGACTTATTATAATATATATATATATATAGAATATTACCAAGTTATTTTCATTTTATGCTAAGAAAGCCATATGAAATTCCTCTTTTTGCCTAGTACTATGATAATTTGCACTGATGGACATGGATCCTTAAAATTCAAATTTATGTTTTTGGCTCCTGATATATATCAAATAGTATGATATTATCTCTCAAAAGTGACATTTTAAATGTAGTATTTTGCTTATTGTTTTATGTCTAAATCTATTTTTACCTATTTTGGGTTTTGAGGCACTTTGATGTTTCTAAAGATTATAAAAATCTTCATCATTTTATGACCTGTCTCCTTAAAACTAGTCAGGTTTTTGTGACTGTTTGAGCCAATACAATATACTTTGTAACTTCCAAGACTAGGTTATAAAGATGAAGCAACTTCTGCTTCACTCACTAGAACAGCAATTCCTAAAACTTTTAGCGATCATGTAAAGTAGTCTTCCTAAACTTAGGCCACCACGTGGTGAAAATTTCCAAGCCACAGGAAGAAACTATAAATAGGTGCTTTGTCTTTCCCTTGTGTCTTCCCTTCTGTCTTCCCCTTGTGAGGTTGTTTCTCTCCTAACACATTTTTATGTCCTCATCTCTAAATTCTACTGATACCCTGAGTCATGACATTGAGTATCAGTGGACTTTAGAGAACATAGATAATTATATATAATCTAATATACATATACACATATATAATTCTACTACATATTAATATGTAATATTATATGTTTTATATGTATATATGTACATATCTACATTTACATACCCACATGGTAGCACATTGTTAGAACAATCGTCTTTAGCATGCATATGGGAAACAGGAGGTAATAGGAATACATTTGTTAAAGTTGAATAAAACCAAAATTTAAATTTACTCCAAATCTCCTTCTTTAGAGAATGCAATTTATTGGTTTCATTCTGTGATATAATATATATACATCCTATATATGTAATACCTAATATGTATTTGCACATATTTATATATGTAAGTACTTAAATACATAAATATTACATATATCTACATATACATATTACATATGTAAATATAGAGTATGTAAATATGTATATAAACATATGCAATATAGTTATATATGTAATGTTATGCATAATATTTTGCATATATAAGATGTGTGTGTATATATATATATTTCAGGATGTAACCAATAAATTGCATTCTCTAAAGAAGGAGATTTGGAGTAAAATTAAATTTTGGTTTTATTCAACTTCTAACAAATTTATTCCTATTGCCTCCTGTTTCTCATATACATGCTAAAGATGATTATTCTAACAAAGTGCCACTGTGTAGGTTGATGAGATAATGTGTAAGTTTGGAGAACCATGTTGGACTCACAGTG